>NC_000004.12:79830471-79981987 GCF_000001405.40 Homo sapiens
GCTACTTATTAGTGCCAGGCAAACAGAAGGTTTTCAATCAACATTTGTTGATTTAGTGGAGAAAGGAAGTAAGGAGGGAAGAGGGAAGATGAGAGGAAGGAATTATTTTTCGGTTCTTCTTGCTGACCATCTCACCTACTTCCTTCCTTCTCCACCCTCATCTCATACTTTAGGATAATTTTTATGTTTGCCTTTTTTTATGCTATACCTCTACCCTCTAATATCTCCCTGCTTTTTCTCCTGGTCAAATCAAGTCACAAATTCTGTCTCATCTCCACTTTCTTGATTTCTGCACCCATATCCTTTCCAACCAGAGACATTTCTCATGTCTTAACTTCTGTTTTAGTTCCCATCTGTATAATTTTGAGCACTTGGTTACATATTTTCTGATGTTGCCATCTAATATTTTAGCATTTGGCATTGTTTCTACATATAGGTCTTCCAGTATTTGCCTTCTGCCTATCTGCTCTCAGATTCATTCACCAGCCTTTCCCTGCTCTGTCCTCTTTTGTATTAGTTTACATTTCTCAGACTTTCTACTCTCTGGCTTTCTAATAATTTTATCAATGGGAGAAATTAATGGAAAATTAGGAAGAGGGAGGAGGAGAAAAGCTGGGATATTTCTGCCTGCAGTGGCTATTCCTGCAGCGATTATGTTTTATCCATGGTTGTAGCTCCTGCCAGGCAGCCTGTACCATGGCTTTACCTCTCGCCAGATGTCCCAGTTTCTGGGTTCCGGTGATAACATCTCTTCTTGTGATTTATCTATCCATTAAGAAGGTAAGGGCTTCCTGCTGTGGCTAATCTCTGAGTTGTCCCAACCTCAGGCTTTCCAGTTTTTCCATGTCATCTATCAACAACTCCTTGTATTGAATTTCTTCTGTTTGAAAGTCTTAAAAAATTGTTTTGTTTTATTTTATTTTGTTTTTCCTGGCAGAACACTGACTGATATGCCTTTTTAAGCCTCCAGGAGTATTTTAAATTTTCTACATCCTTCTACAGCTGGTCATATAAAAGTTACTTATGTATGTGGATTGTTCTTTTATGAGTGCTTCTTGCTTATATCAGAAACAATCATCTGGAAAACACTCCCTTGTTCCCTATAAACAAGGTTCAAACAGTATATTATCCCAAAATGTCTCACTGGAGAAATGCAGTTTAGTTTTCTGCACAACTCACCCAACCTGGCTAGATTTTACCTGGGAAAAATAAAGGTCTTCAAACTTTGAGGTCATTTTGATTAAACTACAGACATCAAGGAAAATAAAAGTGTGTTCTCTGCATTGATTTAAGTTGGTGCAAAAGTAATTGCAGTTTTTGCCATTAAGAAATGGCATATAAAGTATAGCAATGACTATAAGGTTATGAGTATAAGGTATAGCATTAAACAATGACAAAAACTGCAATTACTTTTCACCAGTATAATACCATTACACATACAATGACCTTTCTACTTTCCCTATTTTGTGTATTGAGTCACATCCCAAACATCTGTAGAAAAAGTGTTAGTTAAGACACTAAAGATAAGAATTATAGTTCAATTGTGACTAAAATCACAGTCTATGCTTTCTGGCTTAACAAATATAATCTGGGTATCAGTCAGTAGTGAAGATTCATTTAAATTACCACATCACCAGATATGAAACAACTTCAAAGCTATACCAGCACAAATGCTTTTGAAATGAAATATCATCCCACTACTGAAAATGAATCATATTATCATATTTTCCACTGTCTTCTACTTTCTCTGGCAATATAGTTAATGACTATCCAAGTATAAGATAAAACTGTAAACTGTGAGCAGAATGCAAAACAAGGCCCTAGATGGACCAGAAAGATTGGTGGAATGAGTACTGATCCCAGGGCAGCTCAGGACTACAAATGCAGTCTTACATAAGTCAGTGAAATGGCCAGTTTATTTTCATTTCCTTATCTTCAAAATTCAGGGCTAAATTGAATGATATATTATGACCCTTTCACTGAAAAAACATACAGATATACACAACTGAAAAAACAGAACTAAGTGGCACTTCTTTTTTGATACCAGTACAGGAGCAATCACAAATCCTTTGTGAATGAAGGAGTGTAGAGGCAGAAATAAGTAATAGGACATTCTAACCACAAGTTTGTAATTTTCTAACCAGTTCTTTTATAGTCAACTCAACATTGCATAAATTGAGAAATAATCCCAGTTTGTGTGGCTAGAGGTAAGCAATATTCTTATAATTCAAGACAGAATAATATTCAAGACAGAAACAATGTAGTGTAGTAAATGGTATTATGATTTTACAATTAAAAGAGACCTTAGAACACTGAGTTCAGAGGGTTTTTGTTTTTTTGGCCTTTTTAAGAAAATCATTTTCCTACTGGAAAATCATTTGAAAGCTATACAATCTCTTTCTCGATAAAAACAAACCATAAGCAAGCCTGGCACAGAAAGACAAGTACTGTATGATCTCACTTACATGTAGATTGAACTCTTTATATGATTTAAAAAGTTTAACACATAGAAGCAGAGAATAGAATGGTGATGACCAGGGACTCTGGGTTGGGGGAGTGGGTTGGAAAGATGTTGGTCCAAAGATACAAAATTTTAGTTACAAGGAATAAATTCTAGAGACCTCTTGTACAACTTGGTGGCTATAGTTACTAACAATATAGTATATTCTTGAAAATTGCCAAAATATAGATTTTAAGTGTACTCTTTATAAAATAATAACTATGTGAGGTAAGACATATGTACACTAGCTCAACTGAGCCATTTCACAATGGATTCATATTTCAAAACATGTTGAACTTGATAAATATATATAATTTTTATCCATTAATTTAAAAATTAGTTAATTTTTTTAAAAAAATAAATATATGTCCTGAGACAATTGTGCATAAAATTTCTGGCTGTTCATATACCTGCTGAGGTCTATTCAGGCAAGCCCTGACCACATTGTCCTCAGATAACAGGTAAAAAACTTGATACTCAAAGAATTTCAGCAGATAGTCCAAAGACACAAAGATATTTATGTAAAAACTGTACTAAAACACAGATTTCTTGCTCAATTACTCTTTCTATTTCTCACTGTCTCTTTTTTGGCTAGGACTTAAGTTAACATTATTCATCTGAAAAGAAAGAAAAAGTACTACTTGAACCAAGTGGTTAAATGTCCAAAATATAGTATGAAAAAAAAAAAACAATTAGAAAAGACTTGAAGCAGGTGTACAAAAAGCTAGTAGAGAGTCTATTGGACATGTATTTTTCTAAAAAAGAATAGCTCAGAAAGGTATCAATCAAAAGATCAAATCAGCAAACAAAGGTTAATTTCAAAATAAGTTATCAAGTTTTTTACTTAAAAGATTGAATATCATGATGGAATTCTATCACCATACTTTTTAAATTCCTCTTTTCTTACATACTACAGCTGCTAACTCTCCCTGGCTTCACTGTTCCTGGGAAACTAGGTGAATGGGTCCCTTGTTGATTGCAGACTCATACCTCTTGTCCTTTTTCTGTTATTTTCCTCCTAATTCTGTATCAGAAAAGCATACTACAGCAGGAAATAGTTTGTAAGCCAGGAGAGAATGAGAAACAGAGCATGTAACATCAGTACGGCCTTTGGCAAGGACAGATTATGGAAATCATCAAGAGTTTTCATCCACTGACAAATTTTTCTAATCTGTAAATGAAAGGAAGAAACAAGCATTCTTTTGGAGCAGGAAAAAGGAAAAATAGGAATGATAAATAAGCTTGGAGAGAGGATTTGAAGAAAACTTGACTTCATCTATGTAGTATTGTCCCTCTATAGTATCCCTATGACAGCAAATAAACAACCTGTATCAGGAGCTGCTTCCAAAGGCTGCTAGGAAATATTACTGGAAATAGACAACAAAATTATTTTTTAAGAAATTTACCTACATTATCTTTTTTCTTTTTTTAAAATGGCTTTATTGAGATATAATTAATATGCTATACATGCATCCATTTAAAGTGGACGATGCAACAGTTTCTAGTATATTTAAAGATATGTGAAACCATCACTGCAGTGAATTTTAGAATATTTTTACCTACCTACAAAAGAAATCTTTTTTTTTTTTTTTTTTTGAGCTGGAGTCTCGCTCTGTTGCCCAGGCTAGAGTGCAGTGGCGCGATCTCTGCTCACTGCAAGCTCTGCCCCCCAGGTTCACGCCATTCTCCTGCCTCAGCCTCCCGAGTAGCTGGGACGACAGCAGGCGCCCGCCACCATGCCTGGCTAATATTTTATATTTTTAATAGAGATGGGGTTTCATTGTGTTAGCCAGGATGGTGGTCTCAATCTCCTGACCTCGTGATCCTCCCACCTAAGCCTCCCAAAGTGCTGGGATTACAGGCATGAGCCACCACGCCGGCCAAAAGAAATCTTGTAACTCTTAGGTATTTTTCCAGGCCTCCCAGCCCTAAGCAACTACTAATCTACCTTCTGCCTCTATAGATTTACCTATTCTTGACATTTCATATAAACAGAATCATATAATACATGCTCTTTAGTGACTGGCATCTTTTACTTAGCATGTTTTAAGGTTCATCCATGTTGTGGCATATATCACATTATTATTTTTTATGGCTAAATAATATTCCATTATATGACTATCCCACACTTTATTAGTTGATAGACATTGTTTAAACCTTATGGCTACTATAAATAAATAATGCTGCTATAAATATTTGGTAGAAGTTTTTGTCATTGTTGTGTTTTTTTGACATATGTTTTTATTTGTCTTGGATATATACTTAGTAGTAGAATAACTATATAGTGGGTTAAACATAGAGTTACCATATGTTATATAGTATATAACACAGATTTACCATGTGATATATGTATACCATATGTTTGCTGATTTGATCTTTTGATTGACACCTTTCTGAGCTATTCCTTTTTAAGAAACATACATATATCATATGGTAACTCTGTATTTAACCCACTTCAGGATCTGTCAGAGTATTTTCCAAGGTGGTTGCCCTATTTTTATTCCCACCAGCAGTGTATGAGCAATTTATCCATATCCTTCTCAATACTTGTTATTATCTGAATTTTAAAACTTTTTGCCATCTTGTTGGGTGTCAAGTAGTGTCTCACTCTGATTTTGGCCTGCATTTTCTTTATGACTAATGATGCCAAGTATCCTTCCATGTGCCTACTAACCATTTTTATATCTTCTTTGGCAAAATGTCTATTCAGATTCTTTGTCTGTTTATTAATCAGATTGCTTTTTGTTATTGAATTCTAAAATTTCATCTTTTTTTAATTTGTTTTTTATTTCAGTAGGTTTCTGGGGAACAGATGGTTATTGATTACATGAATAAGTTCTTTAGTGGTGATTTCTGAGATTTTGGTGCACCCATCACCCAAGCAGTGTACACTGTACCCAATGTGTTGTCTTTTATCTCTTGTCCCCCTCTCACCCTTTCTCCTGAGTCCCCAAAGTGCATTGTATCATTCTTATGCCTTTTTGTCCTCATAGCTTAGTTCCCAATTATGAGTGAGGACATACAATGTTTTGTTGGCCATTCCTGAGTTACTTCACTTACAGTAATGGTCTCCAACTCCATTGAAGTTGCTGCAAATGCCATTATTTTGTTCCTTTTAATGGCTGAGTAGTATTCCATGGTACATTTATAACACTTTTTTTTTTTATCTGCTCATTGCTTGATGGGTGTTTGGGCTGGTTCCATGTATTCAAAATTGCAAATTGTGCTGATATAAACATGCATGTATAAGTATCTTTTTCATATAATGACTTTTTTTTCCTCTGGGTGTAGTGGGATTGCTGGCTCAAATGGTAGATCTACTTTTAGTTCTTTCAGGAATCTCCACAATGTTTTTCACAGTAGTTGTACTAGTTTACATTCCCACCAACAGTGTAAAAGTGTTCCCTTTTCACCACATCCATGCCAACATCTATTATTTTTTGATTCTTTGATTATGGCCATTCTTGCAGGAATGAGGTGATATTATTGCATTGTTGTTTTGATTTGCATTTCCCTGATAATTAGTGATGTTGAGCACTTTTTTCATATGCTTGTTGGCCATTTGTGTATCTTCTTTTGAGAATTGTCTATTCATGTTCTTCACCCACTTTTTGATGGGATTGCTTGTTTTTTTCTTGCTGATTTGTTTGAGTTCTTTGTAGATTCTGGATATTAGTCCTTTGTCAAATATATGGATTATGAAGATTTTCTCCCACTCTGTGGGTTGTCTGTTGACTCTGCTGATTATTTCTTTTGCTGTGCAGAAACTTTTTAGTTTAATTAGGTCTCATCTACTTATCTTTGTTTTTTGTTGCATTTGCTTTTGGGTTCTTGGTCATGAACTCTTTGCCTAAGCCAATGTCTAGAAGGATTTTTCCAATGTTATCTTTTAACATTTTTAAGGTTTCAGGTCTTAGATTTAAGTCTTTAATCCATCTTGAGTTGATTTTTGTATAAGGTAAAAGATGAGGATCCAGCTTCATTTTTCTACATGTGGCTTGCCAATAATTCCAGCACCATTTGTTGAATAGGGTTTCCTTTCCCCACTTTATGTTTTTGTTTGCTTTCCCAAAGATCAGTTGGCTATAAGTATTTGACTTTATTTCTGGACTTTCATTCTGTTCCATTGGTCTATCTTCATATATTCTTGATACAAATGCCCAGTTAGATATATGATTTGCAAATTGTTTTTTCTTCTTCTGTAGATTATTTTTTCACTTTCACGATGGTGTCCTTTGGAACACAAACGTTTTTAATTTTGATGAAGTCCAGTTTATCTCTTTTATTGTTATTTGCATACCTGGAACTCAGTACCAAATTCAAGGCCATGAAGATTTATCCCTATGTTTTTTTCTAAGAGTTTGATATTTTTAGTTCTTACATTGAAGTCTTTGATACATTTTGAGTTAATTAGTATATATGGTGTGAGGTAAGGGTCCAACTTCATTCTTTTTCATGTGGCTATCTAGTTGTCCCAGCACTATTTCTTGAAGAAACTATTCTTTCCTACATTGTATGGTCTTGGCATCCTGGTTGAAAATCAGAGTATAGGTACATGAATGTATTTCTAGACTCTCAATTATATTGTGTTAATCTTTATGCCTACTTTTATGCTAGTAGCACAATATGTTGATTACTGTTGCTTTATAGCAAGTTTTGTAATGGAGAAGTGGTGAATCCTATTTTGTTCTTTTTCAGCATTGTTTTACTATTCTGGGTTCTTTGTAATTCCACATGAATTTTAGAATCAGCTTGACAATTTCTACAAAGAAGCCAAATGAGATTGTGGTATGGATTGCTTTGAATCTGTAGATAAATTTCAGGAGTTATATTAGTTCACTATAACTGCCATAACAAAGTACTGCAGACTGGGTGGTTTAAATAATAGAAATTATTTCCCCACATTTCTGAAGGCCAGGTGTTCAAGATCAAGATGTGCTTAGATTCTGAGTATATTATGGATTCTGCAGCCTCTCCTACTGGCTTGTAGATGGCTATGTTCTCCCTGACTTCATGTGGTCTTCCTTCTATGAGCATTCATGTCTTAATGTCTTCTTTTTATAAGGACACTAGTCATATTGGATTAGGGCCCACCCATATGACTTTTTACTTAATTACCTCTTTAAAGGCCCTATAACCAAACACAGTAACATTCTAGTGTACTGGGATCTAGGACTTCAACATACAAATTTGGTGGGAAGGTGGGCCAGAAACACATTTCAGCTCATAACCAGGAGTTTTGCCATTTTATTTTTATTTTTTTTAATTTTATTATTATTATACTTTAAGTTTTAGGGTACATGTGCACAATGTGCAGGTTAGTTACATATATATACATGTGCCATGTTGGTGTGCTGCACCCATTAACTCATCATTTAGCATTAGGTATATCTCCTAATGCTATCCCTCCCCCCTCCCCCTACCCCACAACAGTCTCCAGAGTGTGATGTTCCCCTTCCTGTGTTCATGTGTTCTCATTGTTCAATTCCCACCTATGAGTGGGAACATGCAGTGTTTGGTTTTTTGTCCTTGCAATAGGTTGCTGAGAATGATGGTTTCCAGTTTCATCCATGTCCCTACAATGGACATGAACTCATCATTTTTTATGGCTGCATAGTATTCCATGGTGCATATGTGCCACATTTTCTTAATCCAATCTATCATTGTTGGACATTTGGGTTGGTTCCAAGTCTTTGCTATTGTGAATAGTGCTGCAATAAACATACGTGTTTATGTGTCTTTATAGCAGCATGATTTATAGTCCTTTGGATATATACCCAGTAATGGGATGGCTGGGTCAAATGGTATTTCTAGTTCTAGATCCCTGAGGAATCGCCACACTGACTTCCACAATGGTTGAACTAGTTTACAGTCCCACCAACAGTGTCAAAGTGTTCCTATTTCTCCACATCCTCTCCAGCACCTGTTGTTTCCTGACTTTTTAATGATTGCCATTCTAAATGGTGTGAGATGATATCTCATTGTGGTTTTGATTTGCATTTCTCTGATGGCCAGTGATGGTGAGCATTTTTTCATGTGTTTTTTGGCTGCATAAATATCTTCTTTTGAGAAGTGTCTGTTCATGTCCTTCACCCACTTTTTGATGGGGTTATTTGTTTTTTTCTTGTAAATTTGTTTGAGTTCACTGTAGATTCTGGATATTAGCCCTTTGTCAGATGAGTAGGTTGCGAAAATTTTCTCCCATTTTGTGGGTTGCCTGTTCACTCTGATGGTAGTTTCTTTTGCTGTGCAGAAGCTCTTGAGTTTAATTAGATCCCATTTGTCAATTTTGGCTTTTGTTGCCACTGCTTTTGGTGTTTTAGACATGGAGTCCTTGCCCATGCCTATGTCCTGAATGGTATTGCCTAGGTTTTCTTCTAGGGTTTTTATGGTTTTAGGTCTAACATGTAAGTCTTTAGTCCATCTTGAATTAATTTTTGTATAAGGTGTAAGGAAGTGATCCAGTTTCATCTTTCTATATATGGCTAGCCAGTTTTCCCAGCACCATTTATTAAATAGGGAATCCTTTCCCCATTGCTTGTTTTTGTCAGGTTTGTCAAAGATCAGATGGTTGTAGATATGTGGCATTATTTCTGAGGGCTCTGTTCTGTTCCATTGCTCTATATCTCTGTCTTGGTACCAGTACCATGCTGTTTTGGTTACTGTAGCCTTGTAGTATAGTTTGAAGTCAGGTAGCGTGATGCCTCCGGCTTTGTTCTTTTGGCTTAGGATTAACTTGGCGATGCAGGCTCTTTTTCGGTTCCATATGAACTTTAAAGTAGTTTTTTCCAATTCTGTGAAGAAAGTCATTGGTAGCTTGATGGGGATGGCGTTGAATCTATAAATTACCTTGGGCAGTATGGCCATTTTCACGATATTGATTCTTCCTACCCATGAGCAT
This sequence comes from Homo sapiens, assembly GCF_000001405.40. Lineage (NCBI taxonomy): Eukaryota > Metazoa > Chordata > Mammalia > Primates > Hominidae > Homo > Homo sapiens. The sequence continues at coordinate 79,839,873 of NC_000004.12, forward strand.
GGAATGTGAGTATTGCCATTTTAATAATATAAGGTCTTCCAGTTTATGAACATGAAATGCTATTCCATTGATTTAGGTATTTAATTTAATTTGATATTGTTTTATAGTTTCCAGGACATATGTTTTGTTATTTTATTTAATTATTAAGTATTTTATTCTCTTTTATGTTATCACAAATAGACTTTCCTTAATTTTATTTTTTGATTGTTCATCACAAGCATATCAAAATATAATATATTTTTGTATGTTGATTTTCTACCCTACAACTACAATGAAGTCATTTATTAGTTCTAAAAGAGTTTTTATCTTTTTTTGGTAGATTTTTTTAGCATCTTTTTATACAAGATATTTTATCTCTGAATAGAGATTACTTTTTTCTTTTCAATCTAGATGGCTTTTTTTTTTCTTTTCTGTGGCCCTAGCTATAACCTCTAGTACAATGTTGACTAGAAGTTGTGAGAGTAGATGTCTTGTTTTGTCCTTTATCTGAAGGGGAAAGCATCCATTCTTTCACCATTACATGTAATATCAACTGTGGGTTTTTGTATGTGCCCTATATCGTGTTGAAGAAGTTTCTTTCTATTCCTAGTTTGTTCAGTGTTATTATTATTAAAGATGTTGAATTTTGTCAGATGCTTTTATAAAGTCTATTAAGATTAATATTTGCCTCATTTTTTATTCAATTGATGTGGTGTATATTACATTAATTGATTTGGGGATATTAAACCAACTTACATTCTTGAGATAAATCACACTTAGTTATGGTGTATAATTTATTTTATCTGTTGCTGAATTTAGGCTATTAGTAGTTTGTTGAGAATTTTTGTGTCTATATTCATAAAAGAAACTGGTCTGTAATTTATTTTGCTTTTTATGTCTCTTTCTGGTTTTGGTATCAGTATCATACTGGCATCACAAAATGAACTGAAAAGTGTTCCTTGCTACTCTATTTTTTGAAAGAATATGTGAAGATTTGGTATAAATTCTTTAAATATTTTGTAGAATCCAGTGGTAAAGCAATTTGAGACTAGGCCTTTCTTTGTGTGTAATTTTTAGATTGCTAATTCATTTGCTTCACTTAAAGGTCTATTGAGATTGTCTATTTCTTCTTGAGTCAGTCTTCATATTTTGTGTCTTTCTGAGAATTTGTCCATTTTTATCTAAACTGTCTAATTTATTAGCATGAAATATTTTATAGTATTTCTTTATAATTCTTTTTATTTCTGTAGAGTTGATGGTAGTGTCCCCTCTCAAATCTGATTAGTGATTTCAATCTTCTCTTAGTCTCTTTTTTCTTGAGCAATCTTGACAAAGTTTGTCAACATTATTGATATTTTCAAATAACTGGCTTTTGGTTTACAAATTTTTCCTATTGTATTTCTATTTTTGATTTTATTAATTTCCACTTTAATTATTATTATTTTCTTCCTTCTTCTGGCATTAGGCTTAATTTCCTCTTTTTTACCAGTGTCTTAAGTTGAAATGTTAGGTTATTGGTTGGGAATTTTTTTCTATTTTACCACAGACAATTACAGCTATAAATTCCTTCTAAGCACTGCTCTACTGTCTCTCCTGAGTTTTCGTGGGTTGTTTCCTCATTTTCTCTTATCTCAAATATGTTCTAATTTCCCTATGTTTTCTTCTTTGACATATTCGCTAATAAGACACATGTTGTTTAGAGTTCCCATAAGTATGAGTTTGCCCATTTTGTTTCATTCCATTGTGGTCAAAGAACATATATTGTTTTATCGCTATCTTTTAAGATTTATTAAGTTTTGTTTTATGGTCTAGCATATGATCTACACTGGATAGTGGTCTACATGTATTTGTAGAGAATATATATTCTGCTGTTGGGTGAAGTATTCTATATATGTCTATTAAGTTCACTCAGTTTATATTTTCATTTTACTTTTATATTTTCTGGTTGATCCTCTGCCTATTCTATCTTTTATTGGAACTGGGATATTGAGATCTTTATCTAATATTATCCAATCATTTATTTTTCCTTCATTTATTTTTTAAATATAATTTAATTTTTAGTAGAGACAAGGTCTCACTATGTTGTCCAGGCTTTTCTCAAACTCCTCACCTCAAAGGATCCTCCAGCCTTGGCCTCCCAAAGTGCTAGGATTACAGGCATGAGCCACCACACCTGGCCTTCCTTCATTTCTGTCAGTTTTTGCTTTATGTATTTTGGTGCTTTGTTAGGTGGATATGAATTTATAATTATTATAGTCTTCTGATTTATTGACACATAAAATTTCACTCTTTAGCAATTTTTTTTGTTTTAAAATCAATTGTGTCTGATATTACTATAGCCACTGTAGCTTTCTTGGGGTTGCTCTTTGCATGATATCTTTTCCATCCTTTTACTTTCAATATATTTGTATCTTTGAATCTAAAATGTGTCTCCTGCAGAGAACATGAAGTTGGATCTTATTCTTTAAAACCCAGTCTGACAATCTATGTGTTTTGATAGGATTATTTAATCCATTTACATTTAATGTTATTATTGCTACAGTTGGGTTTACATCTGTCATTTTAACTTTTGTTTTCTGCTTTGTACTGTTTTTGCTCCTCTATTTCACCTTTACTATGTTCTTTGCATTAAATGAATATTTTCTTATGTAGCATACTATTTTTAAATGATTTTTTACTACACAGATTGAGTTATTTCCCTAGTGCTTGTTCCATATATATCTCAATTTATTTGAATTAGCTTCAGATTTACACTAACTTAATTTCAATATGATACAGAAATGTTATTCTTGTAGCACCATTGTCTTTCTTCTTTTATAATACTATTATTATACATATTTCACTCTATAAATGTCTCAAGCTCAACATTTCATGATTATAATTATTACTCAATATAATTTAAGCATTTTAAAGAAGCCATTAAAGGAGAGGAGAACAAGTATATATTTATAGCTTTTGTTATACTAGCCTTTTTATTTATCATTTCTGGATCTATTTGTTTTTGTAGATTTGAGTTACCATATGGAGTCACTTTCATAGCCTAATTGAGCTGTGTTTCCACCCACTTTTTTTGTGCTGTTATTGGCAAATGTATTACATTTCTATATTCATGGTATACATTTTATTTTGTTTCATCCAGTTGCCTTTTAAATCAGTCAAGAGAAGAAATATGTGTTTATACTCTTGTGATCACATAATTACATTTTCAGGTACTCTTTGTTTATCTGTGTGGATTCAAAAAATGAGGTCAGACTTCTCACTGAGCTTCTTTCTGTCTGTTGCTGGCAGCTTATGGATTCATATGAGCAGAGAGAATCACAGAACTAGCATTACTTTTGTCTTTACAGGAGTATATTTGGCTGTCTTGTGAGATATTACGGTAAAAAAAAATTAGAAATCAAAGAAAAGAAAAATGAGGTCACTTGCTTTTAGCCTAAAAAATTTTCCTAAGTATTTCTTGTAAGGTAGGTCTACTAACAACAAATCAGTTCACTTTTTGTTTATCTTTTAATGTCATTTTCCTATTTCAATTTTGATAGTTTTGCTGTACATAGGATTCTTGGTTGAAAGGTTTTTTTTTTCCTTTGAGTGCTTTGATTGTGTTATCCATCCTGTCTTTACCTCCCTTCCCATCTGTGGACTCCATTGTTTCTGATGAGAATTTAACTTTAATCTTCTTGAAGTTCCCTTGTAAATAATGAGTCACTTTTCTCTTGGTGCTTTCAAGATTTTTGTCCTTGCCTTTGGCTTTCAGCATTTTCACAATGACTTGTCTGTGAATCTCTTTACATTCATCCTACTTGAAATTTGTTGAGCTTCCTAGATGCATAAATTAATGTTTTCCAATACATTTGGTAATATTTTAGCTATTGTTTCTTCAAATACTCTTTTTGTTCCTTTCTTTCTGTTTTTCAGATTGCATAATTTTTATCAATTTTTTATATTACTAATTCTTTCTTCTGCTTGTTCAAATATACTGTTGAGCCTCTCTAGTGAATTTTTTACTTCAGTAATTAAGTTTTCAAATCCAGAATTACCATTTGTTTCTTTTTTTAAAAAAAATCTGTCTCTATATTCTCTATTTCTTGCATCATTATCATTACACCTTCCTTTACTTATTTTATCATAGTTTTCTTTGAAGATATTTATAATGGCTATTTAGAAATCTTTGTCAAACCTGATATCTGCTCATTTACACAGGTAGTTTATAGTATGTGAGGTGTTTTTCCAGCATATGAATCATATGTTCTTTTTCTTTGTAGGTCTTGTAACTTTTGTTGCAAAGAACATTATAGATAATATAGCAATTCTGGGTATTTGTTCCTCCCCTCCAGGGCTTGAAATTGTTATTGATTTTTATTTGTTTAGTGACTGACTGAATTATTTTAGTGAAGTATGTTACCTACCAAACCCCTTCCTGCTCAGGGAACTTCTAATGCTGTTTTTTGGACTTGAAGAGTCTGTGATCACACTAGAATGACAGTAGTTTTGACAGATATCTCCTTGACTCTTTCCCTGACCACACCCAGCTGTTAAGCCCAATAATTGCCAGATTATTGTTCTATTGTTTTCAGCAATGTGCTGGAGTATGAATTTCTCAGCAGACTGATCCAGTCAAATGCAGACTTCTTTGAAGGAATAGCTTCAGAGGTAGTGTTTGAAATTTGGTCTGGCCTATGAAGGGTTCCTCCATGCTGTCTCTTTCTGTGGCTCTGTCTGACAAACTAGCCAGTCAATATTTTAGCTTATATCCCCAAAGAATCTACCACTTTTCTCCCAATTGCCTGTCACTACAATCCCCACTTTTTTGAGATCGTATTTAGGCTTAAAATTTTCCCCACTGTATTGCAAATGAAGTCAGTCCTCTTGGGAAGAGATTCAGATTGTTTTTATAGCCTGATTCTCCCACCCTGGGCAAAATCTATGAGCCATAGTTCTGGACCTGGGCATAGGGATAATGTGCATTTCCCTCTCTGAGTAGCAGTTCCACTGTTTTGGAAGCTGAATACTGAATAGAAGGGCACAGGCAGTAGCTTCAGGCCTTATAAGCTTGCCTCTCTTAGCCTGGAATCTCTACCTTACAAGCCAAGGGAAAGACAGGCTCCAATATTCTAGTGCAGTTATGCTCAAGGAGTTAGAGTCTCTGTTCCATGCATGGGGGGCTTGAGGTTGTGGGGGTGGGAAGGAAGGAGCTCTCATCTCTCAATTATACTTACACAGAATTTAACCTCAGAACAAGTAGCTAGGAGCAGCATGAGAAATGCTAATGTCCTGCCCTTCCTAGGAGAATAGCACTCTGACCTGGAGCTGAGATTAGAGGCAACCCTGTGTTCTTAGCTGTACAAATCTGGAGTGGAGTTTGCATCTTGCTGATGTGGGAGGGCAAAGCGGGGAATGTGTCTTGGTTCAAATACCACAAGCTCTTGCTGCTTTTGCCAAGATTTAGTAGATTTTTTAAAATTAATATTTCTTTACTTTCTGTATATTTTTCATTGAGCCCAAGAGGCGGAGGTTGCAGTGAGCTGAGGGAGCACCACTGCACTCCAGCCTGGGCAAAAGAGTGGGACTCTCAAAAAATATAGATAGATAGATACATAGATACATAGATAGATAGATACTAGTCTTTGAATTACTTTGAGAAAAAAACTTTATGGATGAAACATTATTATTTTTATTGTATAGATGAGAAAGACGTTTATAGATGAGAAAGCTGTTATTATTCTATAGTACAAGTCATTGCTGGGAGAAGATTTGAATAGAGTTCTTAAAAATGCAGACTTCAAAGCCCCTTCTCTTAATGTATTATACTAGTTCATTTAATAGCAAAAAAAAAAGATACAAGAGGAAACTGATTCCTTCAAAAAACATTGAGATAATTTACTCAAGATTTCAAGGTGCAGAGGACTATTTTAACAGGTATCCTAGAGAGCAGATGTTCTGTTTTGTTTTATATTCTTAGTATTGAGGGAATGTCTAGTAATAAGGATTACTTAATAGATTAGCTGTTGAATTAATAAAAAATTGAATTCTTCAGGGAAAATTTAAGACTCTGTCCTTTGTATTTTTCATTTCAGATCGTGATCATTTTGAGATAAGGCATAACTATTTCACAGATGATGAGGGGAAATTCTATGTAGAATTACTGGAGGGAAAGCCTGAAAGACAAGGATATATAGTTAAAGATAAATCAAGTCCAAGAGCTATTAAGGCAATAAAAACACATATAGACTTTATATTGACTTTTGATACTTCTAGGCAATTGAGAACACATAAATAAATAGTCAGCTTGTGAGTACTGTGTAACTGCTTAAACCTTGACTATTTTTTATTATCTATATTTGCAAGTTTCCTGGCAATTTTAATTAAGCTGATAGCAAAGTTAAACTAAATAATAATTATTTTACTTAATGTATAGTAATATAGCTGTTATATTTTCTATATAATTATGACATATTATAGGTAATATACTACATATTAATATGTAATTATACCTAAATATCATCCATATTATAAAGAAAACATTTTGTGCTAAGGTTGTTGCACAACTTTAAATCTTGATATAACTGTATTTTAAGCAATATTCCAAGTAGTTATAATAATCATTTTATGTACACTTTAGGGATTTAATTTATTTTGAATATTTTTTAAGGTAGTGTAGTTTTGTTGTTGTTGTCATTGTTGTTGTTTTTTAGAAAGCATATACCTTTAAATGTATGACCTCTACACATTTGGCAGTTTATGGTGACTGGCATCCTCTAATCTGATGGCAGTTAATGAAATTACTGGCATAATACCTAGGAAAATGTTTGTCCAAATATGATACTCAGGCCATATGCAATAGAAATTCTAAGAGTCTTCCTTACAAGTAGATCTCTTGGCCTCAACCTGTAGCCTTTCCAACAGAATCTCTGGCAATGTGGCCCAGGAATTTACAGTTTTTATTATGCATTCCAAGATCACTCTATGCACTCTCACATTTGACAACCATGGATCAAGCAAATCAAATCCTAATAAATTTAACCTGAACATCCAACCTATTCCCTAAGTACCAAATATTATATAGAAGGATATAGGAAAGAACCACTGAAGAAATTTGATATTTCTGTTTTGACAATAGACCTACAAAGCATGATAAATTAGACCTATAAACTATGATAAGGAAAGAAACTGATTTCTCCTTTGGGGGGATTAGGTTAAATAGGTAATGGCACATTAAAGAACTAGAATTGGCCAGGTGCAGTGACTCATGTCTATAATCCCAGCATTTTGGGAGGCTGAGGCAGGTGTATCACCTGAGGTCAGAAGTTCAAGACCAGCTTGGCCAATATGGTGAAACCCCTTCTCTACTAAAAATACAGAAATTATCTGGGTGTGGTGGCACGTGCCTGTAATCCCAGCTACTCGGGAGCTGAGGCAGGAGAATCGCTCGAATTCAGGAGGCAGAGGCTAAAGTGAGCTGAGATCGTGTGCCACTGTACTCCAGCCTGGCCAACAAGAGTGAGACTCTGTCTCAAAAAGAAAAAAATATATAAAGAAAGAAAGAACTAAAATTCATCAAAGGTCACTTAAAGCAAAGCACTCTATTTATTCACATTTTATAGATACTAATTATGTTTTCACTCATGCTTTTCAGTATTTCAAAATAAAATGGCTCCTCATTTTCATGCCAAAACATCTTTACAAAAATTGTTACAGATTATTTCCAATACCTTTTGCTCAGCAATTTGGCATCAACACTACTCAGGCAACAACATTCATATGGTAATAGTTAAATTTGTTTTTCACTAGGGCCCTCTCAGCCAAATTTTTCATTTCCAGCCTGCGCATGCTGAACTCTAGAAGATGTTGTAATTATTTTATTGAACATGGGTATTTCTAAATCAATTAATATCATGTATGTTGCCAATTATTTTCCTGCTTAAAGAGTGGGCGTTACTCTGTAAATTTGTTTCTTTTAATCTTATTTCTCAGGTAACAGTTAGACTGGATTTGAATTTCACCTCTTTCTCTTCTTAGCTGCATGGCATTGCAAGAATGTTAACCTCTTTGAAGCTTACTTTCCTCATCTCTAAAATGAAAATAACACTTATTTTGCAGTGTTGTCAGGAGTAAAGATGTTGACTGAGATAATGCATGGAGATGGAGCAGAGTACTTGGCACATAGTAACCGATTCTAGTTTTTTTGGTGCCTAACAAATTACCCCCAACCTATAGAAGCAAACACTTCACTTTGTCCCTCATTTGTTAGGCTAGGGCTTGGCTAGACCATTTACTCTATGGGGCTCTGAAATGGTTGTACTCAGATGTTGGCTGAAACTACAGTTATCTGAAAGCCCAACTGGACTTGATGTCAAAGATGGCTCACTCAAAAACTAGCACTTGAAGTGGTATAAAAGTCTGGGCCTCTTGTCCCAATTCAGGCATTGACTCCTGCACCTGAAGGAACAATAATCAAAGATCAGAGGCATAGAAGTCTGGAAAAGAAGGAAGTGGATAAAATAATGGAAGTGGGCACAGAGTATGTGAATATGCAAATATCATGACTCACATTAATACCCACTGAAGAGCATCCATCACAGAATAGGCACCCAACAACCAACTGGACAAGATGATCCCTCCTTTGGGTGTCAACCATCTTATTTACTCAGCCACATTTTTGCGGACATAATGAGTCATGAATGAAATGGCTATTGACTCAAGGATAGAGGATAACCCTGACATAATGAGATACAGAACTAAATGGGGATAGAGGACTAAATAGCATGGGCTTTCACTTACCACAAATGATCTAGTTACTGCCTCTATGGAATGCCTTAACACTAGCAGCAATGTGACACCATCCCTGAGACTATCCAACTGTCTAATTTCAATTGAAATCTGGCTTTTCATTTCATACCTAGAGAAAATTTTTCCAACACTACTATTATTTACCTGAACCATTGATATGGTATTACATACAACATTGCCTCACACTAGTAGACACTAACAGCAAAGAAGATGTAAGAATGTGTACATACTCACAGAATCCATTGGATCTATTAGACACCTCATCACCCAGAAGCAGTTAGTCTGATGAAACAATAGGATATGATGTTAAGTGGCTTTGCAAAGGCAACAGCTCAAGGATAACATCTTGTGAGGTTGGGATGCAGTCCCTTAGAATGTGGCTTATACTCTGAACCAATAGCCCATTCCCAGTCCTGTATCCCCAGTAGAAAATGTACACAGGTTTGGAAACCAAAGGTAGAAGTAGCGTTGGTGATTTTCACCATCACTCTCAGTGGCTCACTTTCAGAATATGTGCTTCCTGTCACTGCCATTTTAGGTTGTATTAGAAGTCCTATTTCCTAGGATGGACTGCTTCCATCAGTGTATCACTTTAAGGGTTCTACTATGCTTGAAGCTATGACTATCACTGGTCGTGCTGAACTCATCATGCTGGAGGATCAGCAGACAAAGAGTTAACTACACTGGGGATAATAATTGACCTTGATTTCCATGAGGAATTAGAATTGCTGTTACACATTGAGATCAAGCAAGAATGTATCTGGAAAGGAGGAGACTCACTGGGATGTCTTTTGGAGCTTCTACACTCAGTGATAACAGAATCAGCAACTTCAGTGACCACAGTCCAGCAAGGGCAAGGAAACTAGGGCTTCAAACCCTTAGTTCTGGGATCTCTCTACAAGGCATACAACTAGACCAGCTACTGGACAAATATAAGGAAAATTCAAAATAGATGGTGGAAAAGAGAAAATATTGATCGTGGCTTTAGGACTAGCTATGACTAGTGATGACTGTAGTTCATTCAACTCTACTATTAGTTCAACTCTGTTATTAAATCCTTGCAAGTTTGGCCACTACCTTGAAAAAGATTCTGTGATGGACTGGAGGGAATAAGAATAACTGAGAGGTGAAAGAGATGAACTGTAGGTAAAAGGAATGATACCTCTTGGGCTCTACTTCGAATCTTCTTTATAGCCTACTCCAAGACTGCGGTGTTGATCAGTTCTTTGAAGGTTTCAATTAGTTTCCCAAAAGTGCAACCTGACAGCACTTGATACAGGCCTGGGCTAAATATCTCTCAATTCCAGCTGGGTTTTGTTTGGTTGGTTTGATGTGCCCACATGGAAATTCTGCAAGAACTTAATGCATCATTCAGAAGTGCAAGGGAGTAAATATCAGCGAGGTGTTCCTTGACCAATGGGACACAGAAGCTAAAGGAAGGATATCTTCTCTACTCCTTTTGGACCAATTCTGAAGCGCATACCATAAAACTCTTCACAGTGACCCATAGAACTGGGCACTGCTGCTGTGGCAGACTCAATAATGCATTATTGCATTTGCTTTTCCTCTTTCCTATTCAATCTTTCACCACTTCTTGCTTTCAAAGATTGCTTCATAAATAAACTACCTCTACAGAAGCTTTATCTTAGAATCTGGTTTCAGAGGATGTCTAAAACAAATGATTGTTAGGCCTGGATTATTTCACTTGATATAAGACAAAGGGTAAATACTTGAGGGGATGAATGCCCCATTCTTCATGATGTGTTTGTTGTACATTGTATGCCTGTATCAAAACATCTGTGTACTCCATAAATATATACACCTACTATGTACCCACAAAAATAAAATAAAATAATTTAAAATAGAAAAAATATGTAAACAAGTGACTATTAGGGAATCTAAGGTCATGGTAAGCCAAAGTAAAAGAATTTCTGGAACATGAAAATATTAATCATGTTGATGCAGTATACTTCTACACAGGGATGTGGGAAACTTTCCTTGTTTATTACATCAGGAGTTGGCCCAATTAAGTTATGTTTGAAACCTTTAGAAAAGTACCTAATGAGGGCATTTAATTCTCATTATTTCTAATTCTAAGCCTGGAAATTATCATAATATCTAGATCTAAAGAGTTCAAAACATGATGTATCCAAGTCTGGAAAGATTTCAATCTGACCCTCCCATTTATGTCATCGGGATGCGTGCAAGAAGAGCCAAAGACAATGCTTGGCTGCCCTTTACACAAAGGGAAGTCTCCCTGCTATGGAAGATAGACACTGACACATGTCATTTCTGATTTTAAAACACTTTCCACTCATCTCTGAGCATTTCTCAAAAAGCTTGAGAATCTGGTGCCGTAAAACATAGCAAACAAGATGAATTCAGAATTCACAAACATTGTTTTCAACTTCCTCTGCTTGGCATATTTTTTTGAGCATTTCACAGTGGGATACACGCTTCCAGGTTTTCTTTGAATAAACAAATTTTAAAACCTCAAAACTCTGTGTTGACATTAGTTTTAAAGGTTAGATGAAGTATATGATTGCAAATATGATTGCAAATAACAAACTTTAGTTATTGAGATTTTCAGATTTGTCACAATTCAAATATTTTATCATGCCTGAAAGTTAAAACTGAACATTTTTAGAGTTTGAGATAAGTTTTCCAAAAGCTCCCCATTATCTATAACTCCCTTACTAACTAAATTTGAAGGGTGCTGACATTTTTTGTTTTCTCAAATTAGATAGTAGTGATAACTGTGAAATTAATAACAGAAGTTAAATGCTATCATAAACATAAAACTTATTTTAAAATTAGTGTGTCCTTGACCCACTAGAAGAGAGGCTATCATTATTTAAATGATATTCATTTGAATGAATTATGATGATGATAAAGATTATTATAGGTAGCACTTACTGAGGACTTTCTATGTCACAAGCACTTTGCTAAGTATTTTACATATATTATTCTATTTAATTCTCAAACAACTGTGTGAAGTAGATTCTGATATCATCTCTATTTTGTAGGTGTGATGACTCAGGCACAGAGAGATTAAAAATTTTCACAATAACACCCAGCTTGTGAATTATAAAGCAGCAATGAAATTCATTTAAAGAGCCAAAATAGAGGGGAAAAATTGCCTCATGTATCTCTGAGATATGTGTTAGTCATTGGTTATTTCAATATAGAGGAATAAGATAAAATTACATGATAACAACTGAAACATACTTTCATTTTGTATTACGGATACATCAACAGTTCTAAAGGATCATTTTTTTAAAAAATGAGATTTTAAAAAAATGAGTGACAATGTGAAGAGTGACACTGAACCATTGAAAGAACCCTTAAAATATGGATTTCAATGATTAAAACACAATGGGAATGTATGTATTTTCTCAGGACTTTATGCCCTATTGTTGTATCAAGAGTATCTGTTCTTAGGCTTTGGTAAACATGTGTGTCATCACATAACCAAATGCTAAAACATATACAAAACTTTAAGCCTTGTTTACAAAAGTTTTTTGCCCTGCAATGTGGTCACATCACTCAAACTTGCATTTTGTTGTTGTTTTTCTTTCTCCTCACACTGACATTGTGTTTGATAAAAGTAACCTCAGGATCCTTAAGTTTACTTGGTAAAAAGAGGATTTCTAGACCCTCTATAGAATCCTTGGGGATTTTTTCAGCCATCCCTTCCCAGCTGTTCCCTCTCCACATGGCTGTGTTCCGAGAAAATGATGCAAGGCTGTGAAATGGGGCTATGCTTGGGATCCAGCTGACAGGAAGGCATGCCGGGAAGGTCACAGCAACTTCCATGTAAACAGAGCTGTGGTTTGCCTGGCTCTAAGTTAACAGGATAAGAGGTTCTCCTCACAGAAGGGGGCACACAGACAAACAGCACCCAGCATGTTCTGTTCCAGATGTTCTTCCTGTCATTTATGGCATATGAGGAGGTGCCTTTGATGTTTCCCTCCTTTCTTGTCAGTATGATTCCACGAGCTTCATTATAAATTATTTTACCAAGGGATGAGTCGTATTGTATTATAATCAGAGCAGGCCCTGAGCACAATTACAAACCAAACCAGATTCATCCACTGAAGCCTCTTCCCTTTTGACGTTTTCAATCATCATCTTTTCCTTTTCTATTAGATTTTGAATATCCTTAAGTGGCACTCATCTGATGTTAAAGTGTCACGCCTTGTGCCATGCCTCAGCCTGATGTTCCTCATGACAGTGTTCTAAATCTTATCCCAACCAAAATTCACTTGTGCATTGCCCCTTCCTCCTTGTTCTATCATCACAAAATCTGTGGTATTTAATTGGTATGTAGTTTCAATAAGAACTGATGAGCTGACTAGGTTCAAATGTTGGGAAGGCCATCTAGAAATTATCGATTATGCCAAAAAGCAAAGCTAAGAGAGAGACTTCCAAGCCATACTTGATACTGGAGAAGACTGTATTTGCAACTATTTCAAGTTTCTGCTATTCCTTGGCCATCAATGCCTTCTTCACATTGTGGTTATGTCATTATATATTTTCACTCCTGTAGGAGAAGACTTAAAACATTTTTTTAAAATTCTTAAGTTATTGTCTCTTTATTGCACTGCAATTTTGTCTGTTGCTTAGAATTTGTGATGGAAAGAAATTCCCAGCACCTTGTAATCCAGGTCTTAGCCTTTCCAGTCTATCCAGATTGCTCAGTTAAACCCCAGCTATAAGCCTACCTCCAACTTTTTCTTTACCAAAATAAAAAACTAAATAAGGGCTGGTAAGGGTAAAGGGATTACTGAAAAGAGAAACAAATCCTATTCCCTTCAAAATTCTTGGACTTTTTTAAAGTATGATTTTAATTAATAATCTGACTGGCTCTAAGGTAGTGTTCTACATTAGCCAGAGATTATCAGTTATTTTTATGGAAAAAAAATTATTAGGCTCAGTATCTTAGCCCAGGGGAAAAAGTATAGAACCTGGAGTCAGAAAAAAAAAAAAGATATTTAATTCTCAGCTTTGCCACTTTCATCTATGTGGGCTTGATCCTGTTAGTTACCTCTATAGGTCTCAGTTTTCCTGCTGGTAAAACAGGTAAAATAAAATCTACTCATCAGGATTGCTACAAAATTAAAATAAATTCTATGATATGTTACACATAAGGATCTTTGTTTATTAGCACATACTTAATTTTAAAAAAAGAAACACAGAAAAGAGAAAATAAACAATAAACAACCAGGCTGAAACAAATATATGGCCTTAAATGTTCTCTGGTGAATGGCATGTCTTACAGTGTGCATCCCCTTTAGGGCTGTATGATCCATCAAGAATAAAAGACCGTCACTCTGATGTAATATTCGAAAACTTCTGTGATCCAATCTCTAGCCTCTTTCCTGCCTCTTCTTCCAAAGCTTTATTCTTTCACTCTAAAGTTGTGTCATTCACACTAAACTGCCTTGATTTGCTGAATTCCCCTGCCAAATCACATCTCATTACTTTTCCATAAGCCAGTCCTTCTACCTAGAAAATATTTTTCCATCTTAATCTCCTGAAGAAGAAGCTAAGACCCAACTTCTTTCTGAAGCTTTATCTTCCTTCCCAACTCACACATGCACACGCGCGCACACACACACACACACACACACTAAATACATATACACTGCCTCACTCTTTCATTTGTGCCCATGCTATACCACAAAGATTCTAAAATTGAGGTTAAGCCTGTGTGGATTGCATGAATGACCTGCAGGAAATCTAAACCCTCTTGCGATTGTATGTAATATTTTCTTGGTGAGTACCAGTGCACATTTTGTTTTTCCTGGAAATAGGATTTGCAGCTGTGATCATATTCTCAGTAGGGTCTCTGATCCAAGAGAATGTAAAAGCCACTGTCACACCTTTACAATGGAAATCATTACTGTATGGCAATAATGCTTGCTGAGATCAAGTGTTATTAATCTCTGTTTTCCAAGCTTCTAACATTTACTAAATACTGAAAATATATTTGATAGATGATTAATTGCATTTGCAAGAAGAGAACATTCTCGGGGTACTGCAAATTATAGTCATAATGTAATATACAACATTAAAGCTTGGTTGATGCAGTTTACAATTTACTAATAATTAGTGCTTTTTCTACATACAAAATTAATTATAGCATAATAAAATCCAATAGCATTTGTTCTTAATTCTCCTCTGATCTGCATTCTGTTGTTTATTCCCATTTGTTCTGATAAGGTCCGTTGTCTCTAATGTTGCTTTCTAAAGGGTAAGAAATAAATCAATGGTACTTAGCTTTTCTAACCATCTGGTCTGGCAAACATCCCAAAATTAATGTTTAAATCCGGGTGCAGTTCATGTATTTTTGTCTTGTGTTAGGGAACATCTCTGGAAGTAGGGAATGAAGGGTAAGATTTGCTCTCTAATTTCACTGAGAAATTTGGCCTTTTTATACATATCACTCTGTAAATATTATAGATTTCCATTACATGTTATGTGGTTCAGTTACTCAGCAAAGGCCACAGTCAGTTCAAAAACTTCCTCTTAGGACACTTTCTTTTATGTTTTAGAGCAGAAGTTAGCAAACTTTTCCCCATAAAAGGCCAGATAGTAAATACTTTAGCCTTTGTAGGCCATAAAGTTCCTGTTGCAATTATTCAACACTGCTGTTGAAGTGTGAAAGCAGCCATAGAAAATATGTAAACAAATGGGCGTGGCTGTGTGCTGATAAAATTTATTTACAAAAACCGGCAGTAGGCTGGAGTTTGCTGATGCCTCTTTAGAGCAAAGCTTTTTGCAAAACCATTAATTTATTCCTTGATCATTTCAAGTTTCCACTGTGTAAGTTTACTGGCTGTGATTTATACAGGGAGATGTGTAATGTTTTTGAGGCCCAGCTTTCTCATTTGTAAATCAGCAATAAAAACACAACTCTGAAGGATTATTTGGAAGATTGGGGAATATGTTTTAGTATGCATGGAATCCTTACTCATACTTAGTGCTTAATAAATATGGTGAGAACATTCCATTAGAATCTCTCTATTTGAATCTGCTTGACCATGCTCATCAAAAACTAACAGCTCATATGTACTGAGTGCTTACCATAAGAAGAAGTAAGGACTTTTTATATACTATCTCATTTAATCCTCACAACAATATTATGAGGTAGGCACTACTGTATTCCCATTTTCCAGAGAAGAAAATTGAGGAATAGATATATTATATAATTTTTCCAAGTTCACACAGCTAGTAATTTGCAGAGCCAAGATTGAAAGTTTTCAGGATGAATGTGTTAATTAGGTATAAATAATTAGTTAATAGTCATCTGGGGGAAAGAGCAAAATGGACAAGTGTAATAAGCTATTCCCATTTTACTGTGGGAGGGACATTTCTTTTTAAATGGCCGAAAGTTCTTTGATACTTCTCCCAAGAATGTGGTGGTCTATAATCTCCTCCCATTGAATCTAGGAGGACTTACAACTGGTTTGGCCAATGGAGTATGATGTAAATGAAGCTGTGTGACTTCTGAGGTTAGGTAAGAAAAGGCTTTGAGGTCCCTGGTTCTCTTGGGGCGTTCACTCTGGGGCAGCCTGCTGCCATGGAAGAAGTCCAACCATCCAAGAAAGACTATATGTAGTCTATAAAGGCAACCATCCTAATTGAGTTCCCAGCAGCAGCCAGCAGCCAGCAGCCAGCAGCCAGCATGTAGTTGAACTATCTTTTATGTCTATTCCAACTTTATCTTCAGGTAACTGCAGCCCCAGTGCTCATCTGATTGCACCTGGATGAGAGACTCAAAGCAACTGTCTAGCTAAGCCCTTCCAAAAATTCCCGACCAGGAATTCATGAGCAAAGTATGGCAATCATGCAGAGAGACAGTTTTAACTTCCTTCCTCTCCCTGATACTCACCTTCAGCTAGGTGTCAAGACTCTTTTTTCTCTACAATATCTTTTCGTCAGTCACCCTCTCTCCATTTGCGTGCTACTACTGTATTTCTAACTAGTATTATCTCCTATCTTGAACAAATATAAAAGCCTTCTGTTTTTATCCATACCTCTGATCTCTCCCCAGTATCATTTAATTTGAAAATTAATTCTTCTAAAGCATGTGTGATACTAAGATTCACTTTATTGAAAGAGTATATTAGTCTGTTTTCATACTGCTAATAAAGACATACAAAAGACTGGATAATTTATAAAGGAGAGAGGTTTAATGGACTCACAGTTCCACATGGCTGGGGAGGCCTCACAATCATGGCGGAAGGCAAAGGAGAAGCAAAGGCGCGTCTTACATGGTGGCAGGCAAGAGAGCTTGTGCAGGGGAATTCCCATTTATAAAACCATCAGATCTCATGAGACTTATTCACTACCATGAGAAGATTAAAGGGGAAACTGCCCCCATGATTCAGTTATCTCCACCTGGCCCCACCCTTGACATATGAGGATTATTACAATTCAAGGTAAGATTTGGGTGGGCACATAGCCAAATCATATCAAAGAGAATCAATGCTGTCTTGTGTAATTAAGAATATTACTCTGTAACCCAGAATTGTTTGGTTAGATCATAAAAGGCTATGCCCCTTCCTCCTGGTTCTCTAGGGTTGCTCACTTTGGGAAGACTGTCACCATGTAAGAAGTCCCTGGGCTCCCCCATTTAATAAAAAATGCTGTTCTTTAACCCAGAATTCCAGAACCCTCATACTGTAACCCTAGACTGCTTTTCTCACCTTACCCTGCACTGTTTCCTCTATGCATTGTCAGGTCCTATATTTACCTTCTGTGGCAGTGAAATTGATGAAGACAGGAATGATAGGGCAGCTGCTGCTTGGTGATTGAGTGTATTTGGATAACAAGGGGGCAAATATAAAAAAGGATTCTGGGATTTCGTAGTTAGATGAATAAAATGTAATATCTCCAATAGAAAGCCTAACGTCAGATGAGAGAATTCATTTGAACAAAAACATGTATCTATCTAATATAAAACCACTATTATGAAAATCACTCTTGTGTACAACTCAATTCTCTTGCACCTCTCTCATTTTATCATTTTAGGCTGCAAAAACCTCAATTGGATTACGTTCAACTCTGATTACTCTGCACCTACACTCAGCTGAACATGGCTGGAAAAAAGCACCCAACTTAAATGTATATGCCCCACTGTCAAATGGGCCCCTAGCGTTGCTCGGAAACTATATACATTTTCTGAGTGTATTCACTCTCCCACATTTCTAGAGGACCATTTCTAACTTCCTTCTCTATCCTCACACATCAGCATCTCTTCTCCCATCTTTACTTTGGCTGTTAATCTTGCTTCTTATTTCACAAGGGAAATAAAAACAATGAAGAGACAGCTCCCACAAGCTTGCATCACCACATCTAACCACCTCTCTGCCTTCATGCCCAATACATTCCTCCCAGATTCCTGTCATCCTGAAATTTTGTACAAATTGCTCTTATCAAAGGTCCCTCGTACCCTGGATTGCATGACCTCTTGCCTACTCAAGTACCTAGCTCTATCAGTTCTTTCTCTTCTTCTGCATCATAGTTTTCCCTCTCTACCAAATAGTTTCTAACAGTGTACATGCATATTTTTATCTCTCCAATATTAGCAGAAGAATTCTTCTCTTGACCTCCTGGGCCCCCTTATAGCTACTTCACTCTGGTCTTCTCTTTACAAGTTGTTTGTGTTCACAGTTTTTAATTTTCTTTTCCCTAACTCTTGAACTCCTTCTGACTTTTTCCCATACCATTCTACTGAGACTGGTCTTCAGGGTCACCAATGGCCTCCACATTGCTAAATTCAATGGTTAATTCTCAACGTTCATCTCCCTCTTCAGTGTTTGACACCGTTCAAACTCTTTTCATCTGGCCGCCAAGATTTCACATTCTCTCCGTTATTCTCCACCTCAATATCCACTTCTCCTCTGGCTTCTTTGCAGGTTTCTCCTTATTCCTCAACTTTTACACAATGGAGTGACCCGAAGCTCAGTCCTCAGACCTCCTCTCTTTTCTCCATACACATACTACCTCTAGGATTCATCTAGTTTTTTTTATTTTAAGTACCATCTCCATGATGATGATTCCCAGGCTTACAATTCATTCCAGGAACTCTTCTGAACTCTAGACACATATACTTAGCCTATTGCCTAATTTATATTTCCATTTTGATGTCTAATAGGTATCTCAAACTTATTTTATCCCCAACTTACCAATTGTCAAAGCCTTCTCAGTCTCAGTTAATAGCAACTTGTTCCTTCTCAATCCTCAGTTAAAACTTTGAAGTTATCCTTCACTCCTCTCTCTGTCAGTTGACTCACATCTTGCCTGCTAGAAAATCCTATTGGTTCTACCTGCTAAATATATCTAGATTCTCACCTTATCTGCCTCCATCTATTGCTTCTACCCTTTAGAAAACCAGTATAATCTTTTCACTGAATTATTTCAAGAATAATTATGAAGAATTTTGTCTGTACTTTTGTCTGTACTTTCACAAGTCCACATACCTTCCAGCCTAGTTCCAACACATCAGCCAGATCATGTCAGTCCTTCTTGCAAAATTTTCTGTTGAGTTCCTGTCTCATCATAGTCTAAGCCATCATCCTTAGAAAGGCCTAGAAGGCTTTCTATATCCTGGCACCATTTTCCCTCTCACCTCCTTTCCCACTCTTCTGTCTCTCTGGCTAACTCTCTTACAGAAGGAGCACTGGCTTCCTTTGGGTTCATGAACATCCCAGCCATACTTCTGTATTGGAGCTTTTGTACTGTTTCCGTGCCTGGAAGGCTCTTTCCCTCAGAGAGGCTTACTCTCTCTCTCCCTTCAGGTCTTTGTTGCAATATTACATTCCCAGTTAGGTCTTCACTGATCACATTTTGAAAATTGCACCCACCCCCTCTCCGCACTAGTGCTCTTCTTCCTCTTCCTTGTCTTACTTTCCTCCATAGCACTTGGCATTAGCTAACATTTCTGTCTCACCCTACTCCGTGCAGGCACAGATATTACTGTGTAGCTGAGGTTCTATCAGGTTACAACTGCACACTACTGGTTCCTGCCACAATAACTGGAGTAAAAATATGACTTAAGAATATGCGAGGTAGGGCATACCCTACACAGATTACAATGGACACAATAGATTTTTTCATACCAAAAGCCAGCCTAGTTCTTACAACCTATTGAAAACACTGCCTCTATGCACTTCTTTGAAGTGATTGTGTGGAAACAGGTTTGAAACAGATTTCCATTTCTCTATTTGCTTAACCCTTTGACTTAGCCCATTGGTTAAAAAAAAAAATTATGGTCAATTTGCTATACTTCAAGTGAAAAAAGTATTTGACATTATTGACGTTTCTCTATACCCCAACCTGCCAGTTTGTTATGCCTCTGGAAAAGTGACCCTTCTTGTGAAGAAGTAAGAACATAAATAATTTTGGTAGCATGTTCAGTTATACCATGGTTGGGATGTCTTGACAAATGAATTTTAAAACCCTATTTTAACAACTTGGTATAACCAACTAAATATAAAAAAAAAACTCTCTCAATATGTGCATTTGCATATTTACATGTTTTCAAAAATAAAGAGAAAATACATAATATTTAGGAATATATGAAAATCATTTTTACAAGTTACAGCTGCCTGATAACTCATAAGTAATGAAACTATAAAACATCATCTCTAATGAGTAAAAACATTTGTGATTTCACACTTCCCACATCGTTTACTCTGTTTATAAGAATTGCCTAAGATGTTTTAACATGTAAAAAAATTTAGTGGTACTTTATTTAACTATCAAAACTAAATAGATATATCTGTACAGCTTGGCAATGCTAAGCTCTTATCTGACAAAAAGATCCTTTGGAATCTTTTACATTGGTAGCTCAGATCATGCATCATAAAAAATTTTGTGTAACTCAGATCATGCATCATAAATTCTGTATTTTGTTTTCTAATCATTGTAAATGACTCTGCCTTAAATCTTTCCATATAACAGAACATTTTTGTGGGCGTAATGATATAATTGATCTCTGAATTTAAATACATACGTATTCATAAATGTATTCAACTTTTAGGTCATTTTAGGGACAGAAATCAACAGTAGACACATTGTAAGTTCAAAAATATATTTTTCCAACTTAAAAATTCCAAAAATCACTGGGAAATTTCAAATTTTAAGCTCACAGCATTCACATTAATTATGTGTACATTTAATCATACAATATCACTTTCCATGTCAATATATTTACCTTCTTTAAAACTTTTTCCTAATATAAACGTAAGGAAAAGTGAGAACTTATATTTGTTCAACAATCTACTATGTAACAGTACTTATAGGTATTGTTATCTGACTTTATAGTTGTTGAACTAAGTTTCAGAAAAGTTAAGACATAAATACTCATTTTGGTAAGAATCGTACTACAAGAAAAAAGATACAGAAAAGTGAACTGCTGAAATGAGAAAGAAGCCAAGGCAGCATTTATGGCATTTAGATGGGGGCAGAAGAGGACAAAAGGGATGGAGAGATCAGAGAAGAAGCCAGTTACTGGGACCTGGGTACAACCTGGGCATGTGATTCTGACTTCATCAATCATGGTATCACATCCTATGGCCATGGTATGTATATATGTAATTTTTTATGCAAGGGCTTACAGGAACTTTTCCGTTCCCATAGGGTCACTGAAATGGGACGACATGAACTCAAGGAGGCTATTTATGACCATGTCATTTGCAACATGAAGAAAGCTTATCTGGAGTGAAAGTAAATGAGACCAACAGAGATGAGAGACCCGGAGAAATCCTGGTTACACTGCTTGAATCCTGTCAGTCCTATACTGGAGTCCTGTTAATACAAAATAATAGTAATAATCCCTCTGTTTCTTATGTTTATGCCAACTTCAACAAAAAGAAACTTGACTAAGAGACAATATAAGAATTTAATGTGTAATTAAGAAAGAACTCTCCACCACGGGGAATGTGAAAGGTATATGAGTCCCTTTTCACGATGCGATGTCATGTCTTTTAAATAAGCCATACTTTATGTTCAATAAAAAGAGAATAAGCAGGATTCGCAAGAGAACACAATCCCTTTTTAACTGCTGGGAAGATACTTTTAGTCATTAATGACTGGACGACAATTTGGGACACATATATGGATATTGGCCGGTTTGTGATGATGTGATTGGGCCTCTAAGTGACAACATTGTTCCCTGTATAGAGTGAGTGGCAAGTGCATTTATAAAATTGGCCATCATGGCTGTTAAATTTATGAGTCTAGAAGTGTGCCTCTCAAACAAGTATTTGAGAGGTTATCATGAAGAAAAACAAAATTAAAATTATTCTGCTGAGCTCTCAAAGGCAGAACTATTGAATCAAAATTATAGGAAGGAAGGTTCAAACCAACAATAAGAATGCCTCTCTTGCATTCCTCATCACTAGAAGTTTCTGATAAGATTTTTAGAAAAATTTAGACAGTATTCTTGAATTGAGCAGGGGGATAACACAGAGATAATTCAAATGTGGTTTGATGAACTTCTAAAATGGTTCCAACTATAAACTTCAATTATTCTAGCCTCCAAGACCTACACATAACTGTGCAATGTGCAAATTATTCAATAGTAACATAGAATTCTGAATAATTAGCATTTTCTCATGGTTTGATATTTGTATAAAGCAATCTTAGCAGTCTGAATAACTAGAATACTTCAAAGCAATATGTTTTATTGCTTTATATTTAAAGAAACCATGTCAGACATTTAAAATGAATGGCTGCTATCAGGAAAATGGATCTCAAGACACAAGAAATAAATCACAATGACTTCCTTATTTGTGGAAATTCTTCTTGTACTAGAAAGGAAAAGTAGAAGTATGGGAAAATGTCTTCCAGAAAATTACATTTTCCCAAAGTTTATTTTAAATTTTAATAATTTAATCAACCATCTGATTCTGATTTCAAGTGTCACAGAAGTTCATTTTATTATAAACAACAACAAAAAAACTTTGTAGTCTTGTAAACACTGGTGACAGAGAATAACACCACTAACCATGCTGAGCAGAAAACAGGAGCCAAGTAAGGGAAAAAGATTCTTTATGTCACTCATCAATTTAAAAGTGTTTTTCACCCCAGGACCATCCTGAAGCCAAAACTGGGGAAACATTTACTACTTTTACAAACAAAAATTTATATTCCATCCCTTGCATGATGTGTGTGTCTCCGACATTTGGTTTCTGTCTTAAGTGTCTAAAGAAAGGCCTTATTTAGAGCAAAATACATTTTTGTGGGCATTGATGTGAATTTCAGGTCTGGGTTATCAATGACCTAAATTGAGAAAATAGAGGGGCTGTGTGGACAAGGAGAGAGAAGAGAGCATACAGCTGCCCTATGCCGTTGCTCTGTTCACAGTAAGGATTGAGCCATTCTAATCCCCTTGGATTTTTTATCTACCAAAACAGCTTGGGCCCATCAGCAAATTGCAGTGGCATATGGTCCAGGTTTACGAGTAATCTGGCACATGATTAAGGCAAGGGGGATGTCATCTTTCAGCAAATACTGAAAATATTGTAGAAGAATTTGGTAGAGTTTTTAAATTCAAACTGATAAAATTGTAACTATTAAATACTTCCCCAAATCAACAATTTGGATTTTGTCAAATTGAAACTTTCTTTATTTGTAAGAAGTTACCATAGGGAAAAATAATGTCCAAGATATTAAGAAATAGGAGTTCTGTTTCTCAATTTTAGGATCAATAGCTCGTATGCTGCTGATTCAGGATCTGATGTGGCTACACACCATGCTTGTGTTTCAGGGTGGACCAAGTTTACATTTCTCTGCAGTCAGATTACCATTGTACCAACAACTATTCTAAGGTCCCAGTGAAATAATTTGGACATTTCCAAAAGAGATAAGATGTGAAGACATGTACAATAATAGCTGATGCCTAATATAACCTCATCTGTGTTTCTCAAACTAAAGTAAGTATCCAGCTACAGCAGTGGTTTTCATCCCTGGATGCACATTAGAATCATCTAGGAAGATTATAAAAAGTATCAATGCCACCCACAGAGATTCCAATTAATTTGTCTTCAGCGAGGCCCGAGCATTAGCATTTTTAAAATGTACCCTAGTATTTCCACTGTTCACCCAGAGTTACAACTCACTGAATTAGAGCAACACTCTAGTGTGCCAGGTGGTACACAAAACCACAGGATTAAAAGCTAAACACATCTTTCCGGAAAATCCATCTGTCTCAAAAATTTGGGGAAGAAAATATTTCATTATTTTTTGTTCTGCTTAGATTATTATACATGTAAGACATAAGATATGCCTTATGTCTTATACGTATAAGTCTAAGATGGGTGTAATGTGTAGCAAAATATAAAATTCACATGAAGTTTTCAGGCAAAACCATGTCCCAGCACTCTAAGAGGAATAAGGGCATTCATTCATTGTTTCCTTCCTTCATTAGACATTTCTGAAAAACGAATACATAGGATACTATGCTTTCATTGAGACTACTTTAGTGTTTTAAATTTCTCCCATATGTTTACTCATACACAGAAAGCTAGTAACTACCTACTGAAATATTTATCTACTCATCAATTTTGGCATATGTATGAGAGTTCATTTATTTGAGCTTGTCTTTTAACCATTGGGAAAACATGTTTTTAAAGGATCTTTAATGCTAAACTGCATTTATGTCTAAACAAGTAGAGCAGTAACAGGTATGATCACACAGGCCTGGCATTGATTCTAATTTTTTCACAGATTATTTAATATTTATAACTTTGAGGACCTTGAATAAACAATCCAAGTGGCAGAAAGAAAATAGGTAACATTTTCCCTCTCATTTTGCTTAATATCACAGTGGTCTTTAGAACAACAACATAGCACCAACAATTTTTCAAGTTTTCAGGTTTTTCTGGGCATTATATTCTTACTCTATCAAGCACTTTCTTATCTGATTAAAGCTGGTTAGTGCCAAACAAAGCCATGACCACATAATCCAATATGCGTATGACAGAATTAAATTTCCCTGAACCTGTACTCTCAGCATCTATCATATGAGAGACAGGCCAAGTTTAACTTCATTGTCTTCTAGTCTCTTGTCTTTGCAAGTGAAGTCAGTACTCCCTTCAGAAGGATTCCAGCAATGACTTCTGCCAACAACCTTCCTCACTTTTCTCCCATTTTCTCTTCAGAGTTAATTAATCTAAAAGTACTCATTAATCCATCTTAACTACAGCTTGCAGAGGAGAAACAAAATAGGAGTTTGATTTCACTCTCACCCAGGAAATTTTTGCAAAAATCTCCTGCTGGGTAAAATCAACCAGTGACTATTTGGCCAGCTGCAAAATCACCATAGCAACACGTCACTTCATCATGTCAAGACCTGTGCACTGCCTGGACTTTTAGGAGGGCTACTGTATTCAGTGCTACAAACTGACACAGAGGAACAGACGTGAGAGGTTCATGGCTATGCTCAGTTAGGAAAAATGTCTCATGCCTTAATTTAAAATATTCATGTTGAATATTTATATTATCTGGAAATCCCCACAATCATAAATCCTATGCATTGGAGCAAAGCTTTGAGTAGGCTAAAAAGTTCACTGATTGATGGGGGGGAAGAATGAAAGAACTAGTGGCACCAAGGCAGATTCCCACAGTGAAAGGATCCAAGTTTCTTCCTCCATTTGGCAAAATCAAAGTGAATTTTAATGACTTGCATGGAAAGTTATTTAGGTGGGCAAGAACTGTTTCGTGGTCTGGATTTTTAAAGTGAGAAAGCAAAAAGATCACAGCAGGAGGAAATTGCAGCCTGGGCCAGAATTAGTGGTAAAAGGTTTGGAAGTGATTTTCCTGACTTCCCCATGAGTCATGCACATTCTGAAGGTATTAGAGAGAGTCTTGGAGAAGTGAGCTACTTGTCCCCAGCAAAGACGTTTCCAGGGCTAATAGAGAAAGAATTAGAGTCAAACCATATAGTCAAGAAAGCCAAGAGGACAATAAGACACAGGATCCTGCAGCAAGCCCATGGAAGGAATAAAATATGGATGGAGGTAAGATTAATTGGTTTACTGATAGAGATCACACCCAGAACTATCAAAGCTGTAAAATCTTAAAGTCTTATCCACTGATTTGAATACAGATTCCTGTACTTCTAGCTATCTCATTTCTACTGTTAACATCCATCTTTCCTAACTTGAGTGAGACTTAGAATTTACCCACATTTCTGTTCTTATCCATTCATCAGTTTCCTCTTGTTCCCATTTCTCATGTGGACAATAATCCAGTATTGAATCGCCCCTTTGACTAGTCCTCAATTCTTTTGCCTCCTCCTGCTGCATCTGCCTACCATAACCTCAATCTGGCCAATACTACAATCACTACCAACTAAAATGGAAGAGGTGGGAATAAAATGTCAAGCTATGCAGATCTGTGTCACTGCAAGTTAATGATGTCAAACTAACCCTTAATATTAGCTAAAAATCTGTTTGTGTGTTCCTACTCAGCTTGTCTCTTACTATCCAGACTAACCATTCCTATTTTACCTGCTTTTCTCAATTCCCTATCGATTAATCTCATTCTTTACTCTCAGCAGAAGGCTTACTCTCATATTTTACAGAGAAAACAGAGACAATAAAGTGAAAACTTGCCCGATTTCACACCCACCCACCCACATATTTGCTATATTTGCTTTCTATTTATTTTTTCTCCTGTCTCTTTAAAAAATTGATTTTATTCCCCTTTCTGGAACTAGTCCTGCTATCCCCTTACACTCCCATCCAGAAGTTTTTCATTTATTCTTTCTTATCATAAATTTCTGGACTTCACCCTCTCCATTGACATCTCTCACCTACAAGATTGTTCAAGTGTCTGCCAGGAAAAAAACATTCTCTCTTAACCCTCTACCCTCTATCCATCTCTAAGTACCACTCAGTCTCTCCCCTTCAAAAATTAGTCTATACCTGAGAACTTTAATTTCTTATCACTCAGTCTCTCCTCTTCAAAAATTAGCTAATCCAGAAAATTGTCTATACCGGAGGACTTTAATTTCTTATCATTCACTTTCCTCCTTAACTATTCCTATCTACAGCCACTGCCTCTACTTCACTGAAATAATTCTTCTAAATATAGAATGACTATCTATTCTGGTTTGCCTGGAGGACTCCTCATTTATACCTGTTGTCTTATCACAATTATTAATAACAATCATTTGCATTCTCAAATATATTCTATTTTAGATGATAATTTGTATTATCACCCTTTCCACTTTCCAATGTGTAACTTGCTTTGCTGCGCTGCAGCGATTGCCTCTATAACTTAGGTTCTTTCTTTAAATTCCCTTGACTTCAGGAAACCAGCCCCATGCTTCACCAGCTATTTCTTCATAGTGTCATTTATTATCTACTCTTTCTCTACCTGCTTCTTAAGAGATAATCTTGCTACAAGCTTATCCTTTGGCCAATCCTCCTGGATAATATATTCATGCTAATGGTGTCAATTACTACCAAGTATGCAATAATTCCCAAATATACATATTTGCCAAGGTCTTTCTCTTCATCTCTAGACCTTTATATATAACTACCTTTATATAAAACTACCTGTGAGAATTTCCACTTGAATGCCTAAAAAGACACTGTAAATGGAATGCAACTCAAATTGAACCCATCAGTTTTCCTACCGATCTTTCTCTCTTCCCAGACTACTCTAGGTGAATGGCAGCACCCATATGCATCATTGAAATCATAGACCTAAATGTCATCTTTGACCTCTCACTTTCCTTTACTCTCCCATCTCTCCAAATTTATCATCAATCTCAATTAATTCTACTGCTAAAATGTTTCTCACATTTTTGACACTTATCTATGTCAACTCTGACTACCTTTAGAAACTTATTTGTTCTTCCTTTGTTTACCATAAAAAACCTTTTAACTGGTCTTTCTACATGTACTTGTAATCACCTTTAACCTACCTGCTACACTGCTACCTCTTTGATTTTTCTAAACCCTACAGTGGCTTCACTCACAGTGACTTCAGGTAAGGCTCTTCATAATAATTATCTATCTGCCCAGTTCTTGCACTTGCTATGTACCAGTTATACTCAACTAAAAAGTACTGGTTGAGCCAAACACTTTTGCATGTGCTTCTTCCTTTCCCTAGAAAGACTCTTCTACCACTCCATTTTCCAAATTAGTCTCATGTGGCCTCAATATCAGCTTCCTCTGAAAGTCTTCCAGGTGGGTTTAGGTGGCCCTTCTTACAAAGCATCTCTTGTTCCTTAAAAAACACAGAGCTTGTCATCCTGTACTGTAATTGCAAAGTTACCATCCATCTCTGCTACTAGACTATGAACTGTGAGACCTCTTTGCATCCATGGTGCGTAGCATGGGGCTTTACACAGAGTAGGCACTCTGTGAAGGTTTGTTAAAAATAATTTCATGGATGATTATCAACCAACTACAAATAATTTCTAATATAACAGGTAAAATACATCTGAATAATGCATTTTTAAAAAATAACATTTCTTTTTCATAGAAATATATGAATTAAATTGAGAGATTTAAAAATCCTGCAGAACTGCTAAAATTACTTGGCTGAACTCTGCTCCATGGTTCAGGGCTTCATCATGTAACACCTGTAGCTTAATTATTTTTTCTTTGTTATTTATTATTTGATCATTAAGTCATACCTTTCTGTTTGTTATGGCCATATTAAGGATGTGTTTATGCAGTAATTCAAGTGTTCAGAAAAGCATACCAGCCATTAGCAAGCTCCTTTTCTTGTACAGCCACCTGCCTGCTTGTTGGGACCTTTTCTCTCTCCTAACTTTTGTGTTTCTGAAATACTTTTAAACTAGATACTATTATGTAGACTCTTGGTATTATGTTATTTCCATTCTTTCATACTCTCTTTCTTAGCCCATTTGTGAAATACAATATTTTAAATTTTGTTTAAAAGAAAAACAGTAAAAGAGAAATTCGATAGGGATCTATGACTGAGGAGAAGAAAATAAAAGCTCCTGCTTTAGCCATGTCATCCCTGGAAAGTATAAAATGACCTGTTACTAAGAAAAAGTCTGAGCATCAAAGAGGAAATTTGATACAACATTAAACGAATGTATGTCTCATGATTCTTCTCTTCCAACAACAACAAAAAACACTGAAATATGACACATTCATATTTAAAATGAGAAAAGCTCTCATTTATTATTATGGACTGAACATATATGTCCCCTAAAATTCATGTATCAAAATCCTAAACCCAAATGTGATGGTATTTGGAGGGGACCCTCTGGGAGGTAATTAGATTTAGATGAGGCCATGAGGGTGGGGACTCGTGATGGGATTAGTGTCCTTATAAGAAGAGAAAGCTATACCAGAGCTCCCTCTCTCACCATGTGAGGATACAATGAGAAGGTGGGCATCTAAAAGCCAGGAAGGGAGGTCTCACCAGAACCCAAGCATGCTAGTCCCCTAATCTCAGATGTCCAGCCTCAAATTATGAGAAATAAATTTTTTGTTGTTTAAGCCACCAAGTCCAGAATATTTTGTTATGCCAACCCAAGTTGACTAATACATTTATACAAAACTAACTCAATTTACCCCTACAAAAAGTTTAGGATGGGAGGAAAATAAAAGAATTATTTGTCTTTTTGCTCAGTTTCTGTTAATAAATGGCAGAAAGCTTTTTCTTGCTGCCAAGAGACTAAGAGTTTCCAAAACTCTATTCACCAAGATTTCTGCTGATAGTCCATAATCTTCACCCCATCCATCTGCTTCTCAAAGACTTAGACAATGGTATAATTTGGGAGAAAACATTATATGCTATAAAGCCAAATTTAAGACAGTGTGAAATGAGATAAAATATTTTAAATGTATATCCAAAGATGCCTTAAAAATCTCACAAGAGAGATTGCTTAAAGAAAATTCTTAAATAAATTATAATCATATAAGCAGCTTTTTAAAACCTTATTGAGAACAGGAAAAAACGTCTTCCCAAGTGTGACCCCAAATGTAACTCAAACAATGGGTCTTATGCCCCAAATCCATTAAGTTATCCCATTAATCTTTGCAGAGTCGATATCTTAGCCATACAGCACATAAGCCATACAGCATTTTCCTCTCTAATTACAAACATCAGCTATTTCATCATGAAGATGTGGTTTATGTCAGTCAACACAGCATCCACTAAAGAGGTGAAAGTCACCACTTATATTCTGACGTCTGGTACCATCTGGTGAATTCCCAGGAATTTGAGAGCATTTCATTTCCACTAAAAGAGGCTAGCCTGCAGTAACCATTCATACAAGCTCAAAAAAGAAAGCATATCTATGCCCAAGCAAGGACAACGCCAGAATGCAAATAGCCTACTCCTCCCAAAGCAAGCTATTCTTGTGTTTAAGGAGAAGTTCCAAGCTCATTATCAATTTAAAAGATTCAAACAATTTAACTTGATATAAAAGTGAATTATTACCCAATTAACTGACACAGGGGGTTGCTTTCCTTGTCAAACAAGCCCTCAGCACTGCTGATATAAATGACATTGTAACTAGATCATGGCTAAGAAAACACTTAGGCATGTTGAGAGGTGGTTCATCTGACCAATTAGAAAGTGATTACAAGGGAGAAAGGACGAAGACAGGAAAAGAACTAGAAAGTCTCCCAACTTGATCTATAGCTTCAATGCAATCCCAATCAAAATTCTAGCAAGTTTTTTACAGATATCAACAAACTGATTCCAAATTTTATATGGAGAAGCAAAAGATTCAGAATAGCCAATGCAACATTGAAGGAGAAAAACAAAGTTGGAGGACTGACACTACCAGACTTTAAGAATTACTGTAAAGCTACAGTAATAGTGTGATATTGGTGAAAAAATAGACAAATAGATCAAAGAAATGGAATACAGAGCCTAGAAATAGACTCACATAAATACAGTTAACTGATCTTTGACAAAGGAGCAACGTTAATATAATAAAGCAAAGATAGTGTTTTGAACAAACTGTGCTGGAACAACTGGACATCCACATACAAAAAGTGAATATAGACACAGACCTTATATCCTTCACAAAAAGTAACTCAAAATGGACATAGACCTAAATGTAAAATGCAAAATTATAAAACTCCTAGAAGACAACTTAGCAGAAAACCTAGATGACCTTGAGCATGACAATGACTTTTTAGATAAAACACCATGGCAAGACCTACGAAAGAAATAATTGATAAGCTGAACTTCATTAATTTTTTTAAAAAAATCTAGTTTGCAAAAGACATGTAAAAGAATGAGAATATAACCCACAGACTGGAAGAAAATATTTGTAAAAGATATATCTAACAAAAAACTGTTGTCCAAAATATACAAAGAACTCTTAAAACTCAACAATAATAAAACAAATTGATTCAAAATGGGCCTAAGATCTTAACAGACACCTCATCAAAGAAGATGGCGAATAAGCATATGTAAAGATGATCCACATTATATGTCACCAGAAAAATGCAAAAGAGAACTGTCAACATTTCAACTGTAGGAGGTTGGATTTTAGGTAAAGATAGCAGATAACAATCTTAACAATGAGACACCACTACGTACCTATTAGAATGGACAAAATCCAGAATGACAACACCAAATGCTGGTGAGGATGTGGAGCAACAGAAATCTCATTCATTGTTGGTGGAAATGCAAAATGGTTCAGCCACTTTGGAAGATAGTTTGGCTGTTTCTTACAAAACTAAACATATTCTTACCAAATAATCCAGTTACTGTGCTCCTTTGTATTTACCCCAAAAAGTTGAAAACTTATATCCACACAGAAACCTGCAGAAGAATGTCTACAGCAGCTTTATTCATAATGGCCAAAACTTAGAAGCAACGAAGATACCCTTCAGAAGGTGAATGGAAAAATAAACTTTGGTATATCCAGTCAATAGAATATTGTTGAGTGATAAAACAAAATGAGTTATCAAGCCATGACAAGCCATGGAGAAAACATAAATGCATATTACTAATGAAAAAAGTCAATCTGAAGCCTACATGTTATATAATTCCAACTGTATGACATTCTGAAAAAGGCAAAACTGTGGAAACACTAGCAATATCAGTGGTTACCAGGGTGTTGCAGGAGTAAATAGGCAGAGCACAGCAGATTTTTAGGGCAAGGCAAAAAACTCTGTGATACTATAATGATGGATATATATCATAATACATTTGTCAAAACCCACAGAATGTACAACACCAAGAGCCAGCCCTAGTGTAAATTATAGACCTTGTGTGCCAATTATGTGTTAATGTAGGTTCATCAGTTGTAACATACGTACCAGTCTAGTGGGGTTGTTGACAAAGGGAAACGACATGCTTGTGTTGGGATAGAGAATACGTGAGAAATCTCTACACTTTCCTCTTCATTTTGCTGTGAACTTAAAATGCTCTAAAAATATAAATTCTTTTAAAAATATTTTCTAAGAGTGAGAGTCCAAATCGATGATGTTCTTAAAGAGAGATTTTCATATGAATTCGTGACCAGACAAAAATTCCCAAACTGACTATTAACTTTCCATGATTCATGGCAAAATAAATTGGAAGCACCACTAGGCTGGAAGCTAAAATTTTTCCCATAACATTGCAAGAAAAACATGACTGATTACTTGATTTTTAACCACATTTTTGTATTGATTTATACTTTTTTGAGCAAAGGGATAGAAAGGTAAGTTGCTCAAAATAAGTGAATTATTCTTAGAAAAATATCACAAAGATAATAATAAAACAAGCCACATTTAATGTTTGAAGCCCCAACATAACAATGACAATAAGAAATATTAACTCTCTAATGAATCATGTTACGATGATGCTGAGCTCACAAGCTTCTCTGGTGATTTCTGAACCCTTAACTTAGCATGTAGCACATGTTTACTGAATGAATGAATGAATGAATGAATGAATCTATGGAGCTGTTTGCCTATACTTTAATCATGAGTAACAACATTAGGACTCTTACTGTCAACATTTCAACCTCAGGAGGTTGGATTTTAGGTAAAGATAGCAGATAACAATTTTAACAATGCTAGACCAGAGGGCAATTCTGAGCACATTTTCACCTTACTCACCTCTGAAGAAAAGTGGACCTAAGGTCAAAGAAAACTCTGAGAGATGACCAATTTTCAAAAATCAGTTAGAGATTTCTCATTCTCCTTCATACATTCACTGGCACCTGTGACTAACAATTTGCTCCAAAGCGAAATTCAGCATAAGGCAGGTCCATCTTGAACTCTATCCAAAGGGGTTTAATTACTGAATCATCAAAAAAAATCTTGTTATAAAATAGATTTACCCAAAAGGCAGCCAGATGGCTTAGTTCCAATGTATTAGTAAGGATAAAAAGAACAAGAAACATGTTGTCCACCCCCCTGCCCCCACCCCACCCAAGATGTTTGTTGGTTTGCTTGCAGTCAAAACCCAGGTAATAGGGGAAGTTGATGCCTGGGAAAGGAAATAAAACTGGCTTTATGACATTCCCTAGCAACTGAACAGAATCTCTGAGGTCTCAACAGGTATTAGGGACAGAAAAGTTCCTCTAGACCAAGATCATTGTTTCCAAAAAATGTGGGTGCAACTTGCCTCCATAAGCAACTGTATCTTAGGAACAGAAATTTTAATTGACTGAAACCCACTGTGTGAAACTTAGAATGGAAATTGGGTTCTCCACCTCCGCAGCACCTTTATTTTGGGCTATGAAGCTTTGGAAGGACAGCAGGGAATACAAACTGGCTATGGGTTGTCTTCTATATTATTCATTTATGTACCAAAAAAAAAAAAAAAGGCAGAAGAAGAAAAAAAGAAAAACAAAAACCTTCCCAGTTCCAAGGGAGTCAGACAAAAGGTAAGAGCACTGCTAGAGAGGAGACTTGTTCTTGTTGGCTTGTGAAGTAAAGAGACCTTTTCTATATTTTGTAATAAAAGCAAGAGCAATTGTGATCTGTCATCTCCAGGAAGTTTGTCACCTGTGAGATTTTTATTAGCCATCTTTACAGTGTTATTCAATTCTATGTATAGATCTCTTTGAGGGCAGGGACTGTGTCCTCTTCATTCCCCAAACCGGCACAGTGCCTGTCGTTTGTAGGTTCTCAATAAATATTTGTGAAATGAATATCAGATGAATGAGTGAAATGATGAACCCACAGTTCTATATATTTCAAAACCTCAAAATATGTAGGCACAGTATATTATAGTATAGAAAGGATAAAATGTTTTGCAGGAAAAGAACTAAGAAATCAACAGACTCATTGTCCTGATTTTTAAAAATAAGAGAAATGAGGCTTCCAGAAAGTTAAAATGTTATATTGACTAGAAAAGGAGTAATGAAATCCCAAGATTTTGAAAAATATATACACAGTATGTGTGAATTCCACATTGTTTCAATGATATCTGCACTACCTGGCTCTCTCTTGACTTCCAACTCATTTCTGGGTTCTCCCCATGTACATTTATTTTCTCAAAAAATGCAAACTACTTTAGAATTAGCTTAAGTAAAACCTTATTAGGTAAATCATATGCTGGAATGGATTCCAAAGATACATTTAAAAACTCCTTTCATACAGCAATTTCTTAAGACTGATGGTATTATAGTCAATGAGCCACCTTGTTTGAACTGTCTAGGTCAGACTAAAGAAGAACCAAATTTAGAAGATTTCCAAATGAATTTAGTGGTGATGTGGTGATGTTATAAATTAGCCAGGCAATCAGATGTAAAATGCTAAGTTTAGATAACCATCACCATATGTCAAGCAGACAGTGATTACCGGGCAATGTGCATAGGAGAAAGCAGAAGGAGTGGTAGGCCCAATTCTTCATTGTGTAGTCTCCATGTGCACAGCAGCAGCCTCACAAGAAGAGGAACAGTGGTCACTTTGTAGTGTCACTTGAGGGGTCTTCACCCTAAACCATCTTCCCAAATAACTTCCTCAGATGCCGGAAATTTTATTTCAACACAAATAGCCCTGGAAGAAATTCTATGCTGATTGTCTTTTAGGTAGAAAGACTCACAGCCGTGGCAGTAGATAAGGGTTCTAATATAGGTGTCATTACCACTTTCTAGCTGCACAATCTAGGGCAAGTTAACCAACACTTTCAACCTTAGTGCTTTGGATGTTTCTAAATCCATAAAATAGAGATTTGAAGTCCTACCTCTCAAAGTCCTCTCAAAGTCATTGCAAGGCTTACACTAGACACCATATGCAAAGGGTTACAAAGTTGGTGCTTAAGGAAAAGAAAGGGGCATGAGTGGGGAGATGACAATTAGCTTAGCTTGATGGTCAAGCCTCCCATGATTAGATTATCAAATTCAAATCTTGAATTCTGTGTAATTTTGCACAAGCAACGTACCTTCTCTGTGCCTTTGTTTCTTCATCTGTAAATAAGGAATAATAATGGTACATATACCGAAACTTATTATATAAGGTCAGTAATATCATAGTGGTAATGTGCTAATATTTGGGCTCAGTAAATTGAGCCCTTAACAGCAGAAATGCAGCAGGTATGAGTATTTCAGGAGACAAAGAGGAAGCATACCCAAAACACAGGGAGATATAAAGGGGCCTTAAAAAGAAATGTAAATGGATATCAAGAAGATAGTGCTTATTCAAATATTTATCCAGGTCTGTGTAGGCCTCATCTTTCTTTATTTTCCTGCATCTCTCTAAAAACGCTATAAACTATTCAGTCTGTTGTCTTGGACTTATTCATTGTAATCTGTTAGGTTTGATTTTGAATTTATAACTAGTATTCAACCACTGGCCTGTATTTACAATTAACAAGTAAAGCATAAAAGAATTGCATCCCCACCCTTCCCAGAGAGACTATAAAGCCGAACAGCCCTTCCCTTAACAATGAGGCTAAACAGATGAGGCTTGCCCTATGGCCTAAAGTTTAGCATTCCCAGGCTGCACCAGAAAAACAACAGAAATGAGCTCCAAAACCGAAGATTCCCCACCCTTCTAGCAGATTTCAAACTTTAGGCCTAACGAAGGCAATGTGTTCTACCAATGGGGGTAGTCATGCCTCATCACAGATTTCAGTCTTAAGGTCAGAATTTTCTGACAGTTATTGGGTAATTGTTTGGACTGAAAAAGTAAGAAGTATCCAGTCATTGAGCTAGGTCCATGCTCCTGGTAGAGTGAAATACTGTTGTTATTCGAGTCCAATCCTCTGTGTCTGGGCCCAACATGGGCTCCCAAGTGAGTCAGATTAAATTACAGACTTCAATTCTGAGCCCTTTAGTATTTCAGTCAGACTATAAGGCATAATTACTCCTTATTTTTGCTTATTTTTGCATTTCCCCCTTTATGCTCCTCATCACATTGTACTAGTAAATGTATTTTTTATTTATATATCTTATGAATAGTAAAATGTACAGAGCTTACATGTAAAAGTTTTAAGAATTCTAACAAATGGAACATCTGTGTAACCAACACTAAATCAAGGTATAGATTTCCTTTACCATTGAAAGATCTCTTTCCAATCAATACTTCCTAACCCTCATCACTCCCTAAAACTTTTTTTTAGTTTTTATCCCTATAGATTAGTTTTTATTCCTATAGATTAGTTTTTATTATGCTTGAACTTCTTATAAATACAATGATACCATCTGTGTTTTTATGCCTATTTTCATCTGTTCAGCATATTTTTGTTATTCATCTATGATGTTGAATGTATCAGGAGTTTTATTACTGAGTAATTTTCCATCAAGTGAATATAATACAACTTGGTGTCTATGCTTCTGTTGATGGACATTTGATTGCTTCCCGTTATTGGCCATTGTGAAAAAAGCTACTGTGGGAACGTGTGCACAAATTTTTAGTGGACTCTTGTTTTCAATGTTGGGTAAATACCTAGGAGTGAAATTGATGAACTATAGAGTAAGTATATGTTTATCTTTATTAGGATCTACTAAAATGTTTTTCAAAGCTATTTTAGATACCTCATATAAGCCAGTCATTTTTATTTGAACAATTCTAGTGGGTGTATGGTGGTACCTCTTTCTTGTTTTAAATCATGTTTCCCTGATGACTAATGATGCTGAGCATCTTCTCATGTGCTTATTGACCATTCATATATCTTTTTTGTGAAGTATTCATTTACTTGCTTTTGTGGATCATATTGCATTATTTTGTATCATAATTGTAATGCATATTGTACTATATTGTATTAGGTTGGTGCAAAATTAATTGCTGTTTTTGTCATTACTTTCAACAGCAAAAACTGCAATTAATTTTGTACTAACCTAATGTATTCAATTGTATTGTATATTTAATTAACAATTAATACATTATCTTATACATGTTTGTCCTGTCTAAAAACTCTGTGCCCACCCCCAGGCCATGATGATATTTCCCTGTTGTTATTTCTATAAGCTTTGTAGTTTCACATTTTACAGTTAGGTCTATGATTATCTCTGATTCACTTTTTGTGTATGCTGTGAGGCAGGAGTCAAAGTTGCTCCAACACCCTTCATCAAAAATATTGTCTTCCCTCGTGAGTTTATTTTTCAATTCCATGCTTCCTCAATTGTGAGCTCCTTTGTGGTACATCTATGATTGATTTATCCTTATAATCTTAGAGTACAGCATAGTGTCTCTGTTACATGGGAGCGTCGTAAATGGACACTGAATGAATACATTTTCTACGAGCTGAAAGAAAGCTAGGTTAACACTTGAGATTTTCCTATTTTTATATGTTTTTTTCTTTTATCTCTAAATAAAATCCAAATTCCTTACCAGGTGCTGCATGATGCAGCCCACTCTTTTTTCTAACCTTATCTTTTCATATACCCCTGCTATAAATTAATATATTGAAATCTTCATCCCCAATGTGGCTATATTTGGAGAGAGGACTGTTAGGAGGTAATTAAGGCTAAACAAGGTTCATAAGAATAGAACCCTAATCCCATAAAATTGGTGGCTTTACATAAAGCAGAAGAGAAGGAGATCTCTCCTTTTCTCTCTCCACAGACACATACTAACAAAAGGCCACATGAGGACACAGTGAGAAGCTGGAAGTCTACAACCCAGAAGAGAGCCCTCAACAGAACCTAACCATGCTGGTACCCTGATCTCAGACATCCAGCCTCCAGAAGAGTGAAAAAATATAATTCTTATTTCTAAGCAACCTGGTCTATGGTATTTCATTATGGCAGCCCAAGCTAAGACAGATCCCTATCCTATTCACCATGCTGCAGAGCCACATGAGCCTCCCTTTTGTTCCTCAAGCTCATCAAATACCTCCTAGCCTTAGAACTTGCTATTCCCTCTAACCAGAATTCTCTTCCAGGTCTTTCCATCCTGTAAGTCTTGTCCTTTAGATCGAAATTCACATGTGACCTCCCCTGAGAATGGTCCTCTGAAAACCTATCTCAAAGAGTGTTCCCAGTTACTCTCTACCTTACCCCCAGGTTATTATCTTCCCACCACTTTTCCATATTTGTAATCATTTGCTTTTGTATATGTGTGATATGGTTAGGCTTAGTGTCCCTACCCAAATCTCGTGTTAAATTGTAATCCCCAGGGAGATTACAATTTAGGGAGAGACCTGGTGGGAAGTGATTGGATTATGGGGGTGGGTTCCCCCATGCTGTTCTCGTGATAGTGAGTGAATTCTCATAAGATCTAATGGTTTTGTAAATGGTAGTTTTTCCTGTGCTGACTCATTCTCTCTCCTGCTGCCTTGTGAAGAGGTGCCTTCTGTCATGACTGTAAGTTTCCTGAAGCTTCCCCAACCATGGGGAACTGTGAGTCAATTAAACCTCTTTGCTTTATAAATTACCCAGTCTCAGGTATTTCTTCATAGCAGTGTAAGAATGGACTAATACAATGTGTAGTTATTTATTTAATATTTGTCACCACCCCCCAAGCACATTCACACAATCAGCCCCTTCAGATCAGAGATCCATACATTTACCATTTTATTGCTAGCATCTAGCATGCTTGGCTCATTATTATTGCTCAGTAACTATTTGTGGAGTAAATAAATAAATGATCAATCAATGAAAATCATGTGATATAAATAAGTTTCTTACTTTAAGAATTCAGTTTATTGATAGACTGTATTGCGTGTCAAATTGACATTAAAAAGGAAAGGATAATAGTGTAAGAATTAGGATAACAAAAGATGGAAGGGGGGGCAAATAAAAATATGCCAGTGGTTTCCATATGATCTTAAATAAGTTACTAACATTCTGGTTACCATTTCAAAAATAGGCATAAAAATATTTGCTCAGCCTATATCAAAGCGATTTCAAAACTTGAGTAGGGCCCCTCATTCAATAATATTTCATATATTACTTATAAAATACCTTATAATTATAAGGCATTGTTTTCTGTTAGGTACTGGACACATTAAGGAAGAGAAGTAATTTAAAATATGCTGTCTCCAGGATTGAGAACTGCATTGTTCAATATAGTAACCACTGGCCACATATAGCTATTTATACTTAATAAAAAATTTTAAAATTGCATTTTTTATTTCTTAGGTCTGCTAGCCACTTTTCCAGTGCTCAATAGCTACATGTGTTTAGTGAGTATTCTGTTGGATAGCACAGATATAGATTATTTCCATCATAGCCCAGAGTTCTATTAAACAGCAATTCTAGAGTTTACAAGATGCTTTAAGAGATGAAGTAAATCTCCTTGAAATTACCTAAAAACAATCAAAATTGCACATTAGCTTTCACAAAGTAATATCCAAAAATATATATACTAACAAACACACAGGAAAAGAAGGATGGGAGAAGAATCAGAATCTGACAGGTGAGTTTAAGAAAACTCCCTGGAAGATGAGAGGTTTGAAATGTCTCTTTAAGGAGGTAAATCTGGAAAATGATAGATAGATTTCAGAGCAAAGAGAGAGAAAGCATGTTAGGAAGAGAGATACCAAGACAAGGGTTAGTACATCTGGCATGTGAATTTCTAAGTCTGGAGACTAATGGCTATTTATTTTCAGGTACTGGTGCTAACTGGTGGAATGTAAGGGTAACAGAAATATACTATATGGTTTCTGTCTGTGTACCATAAGGAAGAGAAGCAGACAAGCAAAAAGGCATTTAACATACAAGGCCAGTGTGTGCCACACAAGTGTAATAGAGCCTCTGAGGAGTTCTGCACTTTGAAACCAGGGAAGTGTTCATGAATGTGGGACAAATGAAGTTGACTTTGAGGAGCAAGTAAGATTTAGGTAAATGTGGGTGATTTCAAGGGAAAGTAATAGAGAGAGGAAAGACAGTAAGGCAAGGTTAATGAAACCATGGAGAGTGCAGCTAGATGGGGACAAAGTGCATAGATGGTAGAACTGGGAGAAATCTGGAAAATATAGATGTGAGGCACAGTGGCTAGAAAGACACAGTTCTGACCCTTACGACAGACAAGTAGCCAGGAATCTCAATGCAGTATGGCAAGTTCTCCGATGAAGCAGGTGTTTCGGATGCACAGAGGAGGGAGTATCTGGCCAAGTCTTGGGGGCCACTGAAGGCTATGTTCAGGAGGAAATCTGAGGGATGATATTAAAAGGTGAGTAGAAACTAGCCAGGCAAAAGGTGGAACATAATATTCAAGCAAGGGCAAAAACATGTGCAGAGATGAAAAAAGAGAGAGGCGTGTTGCATTGAAGCATAGTATTTTAGTTAGTTTTGGGCTTTCAGTTTAAGGCTAAAAGTTTTGAGAGACGGTGCTGAGAAGGAAAGCAAGAACTAGTTCATGAGAGTGACTGCAATCCACTTTCAGTTACTTAGACTCAGAAAATGCTTAAAGATGTTTGTCAAGGATGAGTCTAAATCCGTTTCATTTAGTTTCACTCCCTGCCTCTGCCTTACTGCAAAGTGGATTGGAGAGGAAGAAGAAAACCAGGAGTCAGCCAGGAGACTATTATAGCATATTTGGGTGAGAGATGACAGTGGTTTGAAAGCAGGGAGGCACTATGGAAATGAGAGAAGTGAAATCAGTGAAGAGATGTTTAAATAGTAGATTGACACAATTTAGTTATTGATTGAATTTAGAGTTTGAAGAGAAATTTCCCTTGTTTTCTGGCTTGAGCAAAGTTTTCTCGGTTCAGTTTTGGATACACTGAACAGGCGGTAACTGTGAGCCACCCAAATGATTGGTTTAGGGGCAATTGGATGCACTGTCCTGGAGTGAGAAGAGAGACCACACTGGAGGTAAAGATCTAAGACTCTTTAGCACCTGGGTGATATTGTAAAAGGATTCAGGAAGAGTGTGGCTCAAGTACTTAAATAAACTTTTTCTTCACTTTCTAATTGGATTAGCTTTTTGAAGATGGATTGACTCAAGTGTTTGATATTATGGTCATTGCCATGCCATTGCTTGAAGCAGTTCCTTTCATTTTTTGTCTTCTAAGTTCTACCTATAGAAAAAGTCTAAAATCTCCTACATGAAAATTTCAAAATGCCTATTGCAACTTCAATCCTTCCACTTAACTGTTTAATTTCTCTCTGAATGTTCCAGAGACCAGCTGATATTTCCATATTGAAGGACCTTGATCTTAGCCTTGTGAAATAACCAGGCTTACAATTGAGGAGGAGAAAAATTGTCAAAGACCTGCTCTCTGAAATAACCTTTTCAAATATTTTGTGTGATTTAAATTATTTTTATGTGTGCAAGAAGAGTTAGTTGACAATGCTTCAACATAGATTAGGATTCCACAAACAGCCATGTTGAAAACTTATATTCACTACAGAGTAGTGTCTGAACAAGAAAAGATGGGAGTAAGCATTCCAAAATAATAACATTAAGGCCTTTAAGATTATGAGGGACTTTTTTCTTCTTCACATTTTTTGTACTTTTATGACTTGTGAGTATGGTTTTACTATCATATTGCATTACATTCCTTGTACAAAATAATATTAGCATTGGTATTGTTTTTAGTGCTTTTAATTGTATTATCCAACATTCCTTTAGATGTCTTTATTACTCAAGAATTCATTTTAATTTTATTGTAAGAAAAATGTAGTTCAGGTACAGATGGTTTAAAGATGACTTAATAAGCAGTGAACAAATCTTTCAGCAATCTGGTTCTATATCCATCATGAGACTGTGGCATTAAAAATGGCCTTTATCATACAGATAAAGCTAAGAGAATTCATGGCTTTACAAGCTTCCAATTAGTGGCAGAAATGAGACTAAAGATTTAGTCCTTTGTACAAAGGGCTGGAAAATCATTTAATATATTTTAATAAGTCAATTTAATTGACCATCCTATTTTCAGGCTCAGTATAGCTGGCAAGTCAATATTATCAACAGTAATCAAAACTGCCAGCAATGTGAAAGAAATCAGTCTGATAAATTGTATACAATTAAACTCTTATTTAAATGATTTTCTAAAATTATCAAAAATGATAGAAAAAGGATGGGAACATTTACTGAAAGTGTAAGACACGCTCTTCACTGGTAAGACTAAATATAAATTCTGAGAACTCTTCTCTTTGTTCCTTCCCAATTAAATGCCATCGTGTTTGCCCTTAATGAAGAATTAAAACTGGCTGGGCGTGGTGGCTCACAAATGTAATCCCAGCAATCTGGGAGGCTGAAGTGGGCAGATCACCTAAGGTCAGAAGTTTGAGACAAGCCTGGCCCACACGGCAAAACCATATCTCTACTAAAGATACAAAAAGTAGCCAGGCATGGTGGTGCACTCCTGTAGTTTCAGCTGCTCGGGAGGCCGAGGCTTGAGAATCTGTTGAACCTGGAAGGCAAACGTTGCAGTGAGCCAAGATCATGCCACTCCAGCCTGGGAGACAGAGTGAGACTCTGTCTCAAAAAAAAAAAAAAAAAAAAAGGAAAAGAGAAAAAGAAAAAGAATTAAAACTATGGGGCCCCTACTTTGTACTTCATGGCAGTTTAAGAAAATGATTGAGAGAAGAGAAAGAAATGTTCTATGGGCTAGCTAATAGTGTTTGAGAGAACAGTGATCAACAAAATCTATCTTATTTTTAAAAATAGTCAAAAACTTTTTACAAATTTTTTTATACATAAACCAAATTAAATATACCCTAAGAGTTACCTAATAACTGTTATAGGAGGGCAAATGAAAAATCAGATTGGAAAAGAGCATAAAAGCATTTAAGTAATTTTTTAGTAAAAATTATTTATGCTTCTGTTTATCCTCTAAAACAGTGGGAAGAAATGGTATAACTGTAGTATGTGATACCTAAAACAATCTCATTTATTTCATTTCATTCTTACTAGCCTAATTTTTTGTTTTGTTTTAATCTCTAATGTAATGTAGTGTTAAATAACATAATTTCCTGTACATTAGTCATAGTCCTCCATTTTTCTACATCAAATGTTGGTGGTCAGATGCATAACCTACCCAACTCATTAATATCTTTGCCTTGGAACACTTCAGAGACAGATGTGTTGGCTGGTTTCCGTTTAACTTTAGTACTTCCTTATGGAGAAAGTTATTCATTTAAAAATGAGTTATAAATAGTCTATCACAATGAAAAACAAAAAAATCATTTTATCTCAATCACATCTCTAATTTTAAGTGAATGTATATATGGAAAAATAAATTTTTCATGTGCAAATGCATCTAATGTCCTTTTAATTTTATTCCATCTTTACAACTTTTGGCTTATACAGTATATTTCTCCTGAAACATGCAATTCTTTGCATTGTAATTATTCATTTTATCATTGTCTAATAAGGTATAAATACTAGGTTAGAGTTTGAAAACCTATTGAGAAGGCTGAGTATAGAAACCTCTAATGGAAAAGGGAAACACGTAAGCCCTCTATTTAAGATGTCCTTTCTGACAGGAGCATGAGATAGAACACTCTTGAATTGCTACTTCTTCTTGAGCAAGTGATTAATGTTGTTAGTAGAAAGACAT
The DNA here is from genome assembly GCF_000001405.40 of Homo sapiens. Classification (NCBI taxonomy): domain Eukaryota; kingdom Metazoa; phylum Chordata; class Mammalia; order Primates; family Hominidae; genus Homo; species Homo sapiens. The sequence goes on from NC_000004.12 coordinate 79,883,502, forward strand.
GATCACAACATATAGCTCAGCAACTCAGTCTACTGTACCAGATTTATGAAGCCTAGGTCAATATAAATTGTAGGAGACTGACAACCTTGTAATTCACTAGGGAACAATGATCAAAATGAAAACATGGCCTTGATGTTGTCTTTGCTCACTATTTTCATTGGCAGATGTATAATTGAGTAAAAAACTATCTTGGCATTTAATGAGCAGGTAAAGTATGAGAAATAGCCCTCCTTGAATGCTGTCTTTAATCTTCAGTGATGGCTCAGGCATTGGAAACAAAGGTGAGTTTTATAGGGGCAGAGTTGACTAGTTATTCCATTAGAGGACTCCTCAGCCAGTTCTCCTAGATGAGTTAAAGTATTTATTTTCATGTTTTTACATTTTGAGTAAGAAAAATTTCTAACATGTTAGAAAAACATTGTGCATATGAAAACAATGTCTTTCAAAAGTACATAATTCAACAATTCAACATAATACAGAAAGTTCTATGACTTTGAAGTTTATTTTAAAGTCAAATGGAAACAACCATCTACTCTATTATTCTCATATAAGTTATATCCACCTAGGTGATTTAAAGGACCTCCAGGCCATTAGGCTAAAATAACAAAATAACTCATAAGCATGGCATCAAGTGCTTATTATCACCCCGTTGTCATCTAAAGGTCTCGTTCCTTTTATTACATCTATTTCTTACATTATCCTATTTTTAAAAAGCTTTTATGCTTTAGCAAAATTGTTCTCATCAATAAAAGCATTGTCTGAATTACATGAATGCTCTTTTAATGTGGTGTTCACTCTTTTTAGTTGCTCTATGAAATCAGCTCCAGAAGATTAGGCACTCATTAGGTTTTTTGGGAGGCACATACTAAATCCTGAATAAAAGAAATAATATTTAGTTTCAGCTGCAAGAATGGAATGGAAAGAAGAAGTAAGTTCAGAGTCTCAGATAAGACTTTCAAATGAAAAACAAACTGGAAATTTAGCAGATGATTGTGGCCATATCAACTTGGATTGATTTACAGCATTTCATGTGATTTTTAATGTCCTCTGTTTACCATATTGACTTCTGAAAGTTAGTTTAATTTTCTTTTGTTTTTGTTTGTTTGTTTGGTTTTGGGTTTTCTGTTTGCTTGTTTTTTGAGACAGAGTCTTTCTCTGTTGTCCAGGCTGGAGTGCAGTGGCGCAATCTTGGCTCACTGTAACCTCCACCTCCCAGGTTCAAGCCATTCTCCTGCCACAGCCTCCTGAATAGCTGGGATTACGGGGGCCTGCCGCCACAGCTGGCTAATTTTTGTATTTTTAGTAGATACAGGATTTCACCATGTTGGCCAGGCTGGTTGGGAACTCCTGACCTCAAGTGATCCACTCACCTTGGCCTCCCAAAGTGCTGGGATTACAGGCATCAGCCACCACACCCAGCCTGAAAGTTGGTTTAATTTTCTAATAACTATGTTTGTACAACCTAAAAGTAAAGTAAACAATGAAAAATAATTATATGCATTGTCTTATCCGTTAGATGAAAAAGCTAGATATTTGGAAACAAATGACTGGATGAATTTATTTTTCACTTGCCAACTGAAATGAGCAGCAAGAGTATGTAAATATACTATAATTTGAGTAGCATCAAAAGGATCCCTGTTTAACTGTATTTCCAGCACAAGTATTTCTCAAATTCAAACTGTGAATAACGTTTTCAGAGAAAGTGTCAAAGATCCTGATTAAAGTAAGAAAGTAATTCATTAAGCTACTAACATCTCATTACAAATTAGCATATGAGATTAGCTAAATAGTAATCTGATTGTAATGATATTAGCTAACACACAGAGTATATACTTTATGTCAGTCATGTGCCTAAGAGCTGTATGTATATAAATTTAAATGATCTTCCCAACACACCCCTGAGGTAGACACCCAGAGGGTAATCATTATTATTATCCCCAGTTTACAGATGAGGAAACTGAAAGATAGTATTAAGCAATTTGTCCAAAGTGGCACACTTAGGAAATAGTAGAACTGGGATTTAAATCCAGGAACATAAATCCAGAGTCTGTGCTCTTAATCACTATGGCACAAATAAAGCACCACAGTGTGGATGGTGGTACAAAGTAGAGGGGATTCCTCCCTTGCCACACACACAAACGTAAATAGTAAACATAGTGTCTCACTGATTTGCCTAGGGTCAGTGATATATACAGGTGGATGGAAAAATATGTTTATGCATATATAAATAGGTGTATATATAGACATATATATGTATACCTACATATATATATACATATATACATCTATACACCCAGGTATATAGGTATATGTATATATACATATATGTACCCATACGTGTGTAATGAAATTTTATATAAATATATGTGAATATGACTGAGAAACTGGTGAAAATATGAGCTACAAGAATAAGTGTCCTAAAATTTAAGGCATAAAATTCCATATCAAGTTCATAGAACTCAAGTTCTAAGTATATCTTCCACAAAATTGCATTTAATTAGGTACAAACAGATATATAACATTTATAACTTTTTTCAAGTTTTGCCACTCTTTTCAGAAATTGTATTATCATTAATTATTATTCATTGAGTAAATGGATGACTATTTATTAAGGGACTGGATTAATTATTACTTATTGAGTGCTCACAATGTGCCAGGGACGGCTGGCAGAGCATAAAGGGACACTGTTCTCACCCTCGAAGAATTCACCAGATAAAGAGAAAAGACAGATGCACTCAGCCTTAGCCTTTAAAGGTGGTTATTGGTGTTTTTGTTACACAGAGAGGATGCTTTTGTGTGCGCGTACATGTGTGTGTGTGGTCAGCCAAATAATATGTGACTTACTTGACTATTTCACTTGGTCGTCAATTCATAGGATTGGGTCTTAGAAAGTTGAAATTAAAGCCATGTATCAGGCCTCATTTTCCCCCACCACACAAAAAGAAATCAAAAGGTCCATGTCCCATGGCAGGGCATCAGGACATCTATCTGCTCTCTGCATCTTGTCCTGTCCCTCTGGGGGTCTTATTCTAGCATTGCATGCCTTCCCTCTCTACTAGCTTTTCTCCCCCTTCATCTACAAATATTAATAATTTAAGTCACCTTGTTTTGAAAGGAAGTAATAACAAAAGCATAATAAGTTCTTTTTATCCTACAAAGTCCCATTGCTGACCTTTTTAGCCAGCCTTCCATTTAACTTCTTAGCCTACTGCAATCCAGCTTCTATCAATCTAGCTTCAGCTCACTGAAACTGTTTCTGTTAGGTCCCTAGAGACCACTTTATTACTAAATCACATGAACATTTTTCAGCATTTACCCTACTTGACCTTCTGCAGGATTTCGCAAAGTTGATAAGTTCCTCTGAATTGTATTAATAAGTATTTCAAATAAATACAAATATACAAGTGCTTTAAAAGACACTCTTTACCTACTATTCAGGTAAAACAAATATTGACATTTTGCCATGTTTGCTTGAACTTTAGCTTATTTAAAAAAATAAGAAATACCTAAAAATTCCCCATTATTTCCCCATTATTTTCCTCTCCAGAAGTAGCTTATAACCTGACATCAATATTATTGATGCCTTTTTCAAAATATTCTGATCCTTTGGCTTGTGTGCATCATTCTCTCTTGGTTCTCCTCACCCATTTTGACATATAATTTTTAAAATATTTCGCTAATATCCTGTTAACATAGATACCTCTCCAGGTTCTGTTTTTGGTGGTCTTTGTCCACCCTCCAAATTTTCTTTGAGTGATTTCATTCATTCTTATGGTTTCAAGCAACATCTCTCCTGAGGTATAAAACTAAGCATATTAACAGCCTACTGAAAATTGCCACTTATATATTTCACAGGCAAACCAGTGGGACCAGAACTAAGCACATTTTTTTTTCCTATGTTAGAGCAAAGTTTACTGCTGTAGTAGACAGGCTCACATTTCTCCTATATTAAGGTAGTAGTTCCAAAATATGTCCACAAATTCTTTGACACCCTCTCCTTCAAAAGGTGGAGCCTAATTCCCTCTCCTTGAGTGTAAGCTAGAGTTAGTGACTCCCCTCTAACAAATATGAAGTGGTGAAAGTGATGATGCATAACTTCCAAGCCTAGGGTTGTAAAAAGTGTTCTCTCTCTCTCTCTCTCTCACTTGCTTTGGGGAAAGGAACTTCCTATGTCATGAAGACACTCAAGGAACTCTATCGAGAAATTCATGTATCAAGAAACTGAGGCCTACTGCCAATAGCCATATGAGCGAATCATCTCAAAAGTGATTTTATAGCCCCTGTAAAGCCTTCACATGACTGCAACCTTATGAGATATCCTGAGCCAGTACCACCCAACTAAGTTACTTCTAAATATCTGACTCCATAGATGCTATGAGGTAATAAATGTTTATTGTATTAAGCCAATAACTTTTCAGGTAATTTGTTATTATATGGGGTAATTGTTATTATAAAAATAGAACACCGACAAGTAAGTTAGAAAAAAATTAGCTGCTCTAATAGATAAGCCTGCAGTTTTTAGTCACTTAACACAATAGAAGTTGAAGTGTAACACTTTCTGTTTCCTACCAACAACTTCATACTATGGAAGTGGGAACATGAATTTTCTAGATGTTAGTTTTCTCAGACATACTTTCATTTTCCACATTAATGAATGGCATTCCCAGCCTTTTGCAAGCTAAATTTGCCAAAGTCAGAAACCTGTGAAATGTCTTGATTTTCTGACTCTCTTCGCCTTATACAGGTAATCAATCACCAAATATTGTTGATTCTAACTTTACAATATACATTTTTTCCAATCCATTTTACTTTCTTTCTCTGCTGCCATTTTAGGATAAGATGATTGCAATAATTGACTTTCCTACAAATTTTGCACCCTTCAACATATTCTCCATACTGCATGTTATAATTTTTCTTACCTTAATATCCAGTTATATCTCTTTCACATAAAAAATAAACAAATACAAAACAATACAATCTTATTAGCCAATTATCTAATAAATATGTTCTATATACCTTAGATTGGGGGAAAAATGTTAACGATGACATTGAGATCTTTGACTGACTTTCTAAGCTCATCTCATGACATTTTCCTTACTTCAAATTTCAGATTTCAGCCACTCTGTACCTCCATGATTTCCTCCTAAATGAACAATGCTCTCTTTTGCCTCATTAACATTACATATGCTTCTTCATCTAATCTTTCCTTTCATCTTTATTCTTTACTCATGAAGCCTCATTTCAAGTACCATCTTTCTCAAGAAGTCTTTTCTCAGCACCTACTTGGTATTTGTTCATTCTCCTGTAACATGCTGTGCACACCTCTCACTTTCTTTTCTTTGCCATCAGACTCTTTGGGAATTTGAATCTCCACAATCTATGCCTGGGAACACTATAGGTTTCCCCCAAGTTACAGTTTATTTTTATTACACTTTAAGTTCTAGGGTACATGTGCAGAAGGTGCAGGTTTGTTACATGGATATACATGTGCCATGGTGGTTTGCTGCACCCATCAACCCGTCATCTACATTAGGTATTTCTCCTAATGCTCTCTCTCCCCTAGCCCCCTACCCCTCAACAGGCCCTGGTGTGTGATGTTCTGTTCCCTGTGTCCATGTGTTCTCATTGTTCAACTCCCACTTATGAATGAGACCATGCAGTGTTTGGTTTTCTGTTCTTGTGAGAGTTTGCTGAGAATGATGGTTTCCAGCTTCATCCATGTCCCTGCAAAGGACATGAACTCATCCTTTTTTATGGCTGCATAGTATTCCATGGTGTATATGTGCCACATTTTCTTAATCCAGTCTATCACTGATGGGCATTTGGGTTGGTTCCAAGTCTTTGCAATTGTGAACAGTGCCACAATAAACATACGTGTGCATGTGTCTTTATAGTAGAATCATTTATAATCCTTTGGGTATATACCCAATAATGGGATTGCTGAGTCAAATGGTATTTCTAGTTCTAGATTCTTGAGGAATTGCCAAACTGTCTTCCACAATGGTTGAACTAACTTACACTCCCACTAACAGTGTAAAAGCGTTCCTATTTCTCCACATCCTCTCCAGTGTCTGTTGTTTCCTGACTTTTTAATGATCACCATTCTAACTGGTGTGAGATGGTATCTCATTGTGGTTTTGATTTGCATTTCTCTAATGACCAATGATGTTGAGCTTTTTTTCATGTTTGTTGACTGCATAAATGTCTTCTTTTGAGAAGTGTCTGTTCATATTCTTTGCCCACTTTTTGATGGTTTTTTTTTCTTGTAAATTTGTTTAAGTTCTTTGTGGATTCTGGATATTAGCCCTATGTCAGATGGATAGATTGCAAAAATTTTCTCCCATTCTGTAGGTTGCCTGTTCACTCTGATGATAGTTTCTTTTGCTGTGCAGAAGCTCTTTAGTTTAATTAGATCCCATTTGTCAATTTTGACTTTTGTTGCCACTGCTATTGGTGTTTAAGTCATGAAGTCTTTGCCCATGCCTATGTCTCAAATGGTATTTCCTATGTTTTCTTCAAGGGTTTTTATGGTTTCAGGTATTACATTTAAGTCTTTAATCCATCTTCAGTTGATTTTTCTATAAGGTGTATGGAAGGGATCCAGTTTCAGCTTTCTGCATATGGCTAGCCAGTTTTTCCAACACCATTTATTAAATAGGGAATCCTTTCCCCATTTCTTGTTTTTGTCAGGTTTTTCAAAGATCAGATGGTTGTAGATGTGTGGCATTATTTCTGAGGCCTCTGTTCTGTTCCTTTGGTCTATATATCTGTTTTGGTATTAGTACCATGCTGTTTTGGTTACTGTAGACTTGTAGTGTAGTTTGAAGTCACATAGTGTGATGCCTCCGGTTTTGTTCTTTTTACTTAGGATAGTCTTCGTTATGTGGGCTCTTTTTTGGTTCCATATGAAATTTAAAGTAGTTTTTTCCAATTCTTTGAAGGAAGTCAGTGGTAGCTTGATGGAAATAGCATTGAATCTATAAATTACCTTGGGCAGTATGGCCATTTTCATATTGATTTCATGTTGATTTTCATATTGATTCTTCCTATCCATGAGCATGGAATGTTTTTCCATTTGTTTGTGTCCTCTCTTATTTCCTTGAGCAGTGGTTTGTAGTTCTCCTTGAAGAGGTCCTTCACATCCCTTGTAAGTTGGATTCCTAGGTATTTTATTTTCTTTGTAGCAATTGTGAATGAGAGTTCACTCATGATTTTGCTGTCTGTCTGTTACTGGTGTATAGGAATGCTTGTGACCTTTGCACATTGATTTTGTATCCTGAGACTTTGCTGAAGTTGCTTATCAGCTTAAGGAGATTTTGGGCTGAGATGATGGGGTTTTCTAAATATACAATCATGTCATCTGCAAACAGAGACAATTTGACTTCCTCTTTTGCTAATTGAATGCGCTTTATTTCTTTCTGTTGCCTGATTGCCCTGGCCAGAACCTCCAATACAATGCTGAATAGGAGTGGTGAGAGAGGGCCTCCCTGTCTTGTGCTGGTTTTCAAAGGGAATGCTTCCAATTTTTGCCCATTCAGTATGATATTGGCTGTGGGTTTGTCATAAATACAAGTTATAGTTTTAATGACTAAGTGTATGTATGAATGAAGTGAGTTTATGGACCTTTATACCTGTGCTGTCCAATAGAGTAGACACTAGTCACAGGACATGGCTATTTAAATTAAAATTAATTAAAATTAAATAAAATTGAAAATTTAGTTTATCAGCCCCTCTGGCTATATCTCAAGGGCTCAGTAGATATTAATAGAGGAATAGAATACACTGATTAAATTCAGCCTTCTAACTAGCTTACAAATGCAAAAAAATCCCTGGGAAAGGAGTAGTTTCTTATGTGATTAGCTAAATGTAACTTTGTATGAATGGGGAGGTTGGACCATTCCAGTGTAATGCTTGATCTCATTTTATTTGATTAGGCAAATTATAGACCAACGGCATGAAATGTATTACTATACCAATGTAAACTCCAAAATGTGAATCTCATTATAGCTGTGGCCTTGAGGCCTTTTAATGTTGAATCAAACTAACAAGTTCAAGTAGTTCAAAAGAATGTTCACACATACACACAGTTACACACATGCACACTCACACACAGGTGTTAATTAGCTCTTCTGCAAAGGAAAGCTTAACCCCTTGTGCTATAATTCAGGGAAAAAAAAAGAAACAGCAACATCAGTCAATTTGTGAAAATAATAAAAATAATCAAGCTACTTGAATGTTGCAGCAATTTCAAACATACTTAATTGTGTGATTTCGATGTAGATAGTAAGTGACCAGGTTGACAGAGAGCTAGACTCTAGACTACAAAAAACATCATATGTTCTGGCAAATATTTCACCACACTTTTGGTTGTACAACATTTGCGTCCCAATCATATAATTCAGGAATTTCATCTCCTTATAAATCTAGGTGGAAGTCACAGCCTATGTGTTTGCTTGTGGCAACAGCAGTGTCTGTATCAGACTGGTCTACTTATAAAATTTTTGGTTAGAGATCTGACTTCAAATATTTCCTACATATATGTTTGCTTCCTCAACCTGGTATTTTATTCCCTACCCTCTGATCTTTCCGGTGTATCTGTGCCTTTCATGTCCTTTCATTTGATTTTCTAGGCATAGTCACCCAGGTCAGAAAAGCAGGCTCAGGAAGTGCTGGCTTATGGGCTACTTATATATTTCATTTGTATCGAATGCCACAAAGAACTTGACTGACACACCTGCCATGGTAAAGTCTTTAAATTTCTTAACCTACGGACAAACTGGAGCCATTGAAGGGCTACAAGTCAGAAACAAAAATTTTTGAAATATAAAATGCTACAATCCCTTTGGGGGACAGTGTGGCAGTTGTTAAGAAGTTAAAATGTACCTATCATTGTCCCTTTCCTATTTACCCAAGCAAGATGCATATGTTCATAAACATATGCATACAAATATAAACATACAAAGGCTTGTATACAAATGTTCATATGTTTACAAACATAATCATACAAAGGCTTGTATATAAATGTTCATAGCAGCTCTATTCATAATTGCAAAAAACTGAAAACAACACAAATGTCCATCAACAGGTGAACAGATAAACAAATTGTGGCATATCCCTACAGTGGAATACTATTCAGTAATAAATAACATCAACTATTTATATATGCTGCAACTTGGATGAGTGAAAGAAGCCAGTCTCAAAAGTTTCCATACTATTAATATATAATTCCATTTATTTTTCATTCTCACAATGGTAAAGCTATAATAATGTAGAGCCTGTCAGCTTTGGAGAGGGGTTTGTGACTAAAAGGGGATGATTTGAGAAGGTCTTTTGGGGGGGTGGGACTATTCTGTATTCTGATTGTAGTAGTGTTTATACAAATCTATAAATATATTATGGTTCACAGAACTTCACACATGCACACATACATGCTCACCAAAAATGTCAAAATTACTGTATAATACATTTTAAAACAATATTTTAAAGTGAAAAATAGTATACAATTAAAAATAAAAATAATTCTATGAAATATAGTCTACACAATACATCATCAAAACTTAGTAGTAGAATGTTTATTTAACATTAGAAATATCATTTTTTGAGTTTCTTTTACCTTTTCATTTTGAGATAATTGTATATTCATACACAAATAATAGAGGGAGTCTGTATATCCTATATCAGGCATCTAATGATAACATCTTCTAAAGCCATAGTATTTGAATAGTACAATATCACAACTAGGATATCAGCACTAGGACAGTCACAATAGAGAAAATATCATTGTTCCAAGGATCTCTCCTTTTGACATTTTATAGCCTTACCTGTCTTCCTGTCTTTACTTGGTCCCTTACCCTTGGCAACTACTTTTTCATTTCTATCATTTTGTTGTGCAGTATGTAACGTTTTGGGATTGACATTTTTCACTCAATATAATTCACTGGAGATTCATCCAAGTTACTGTGTGTACCAATAGTTCATTCCTTTATTATTATTGAGATGTATTCCAAATATGACTATACTACAGATTGTTTAAAAATTCACCAGCTGAAGGATATCTAAGTTGTTTTCAGATTTTGCAACTACAAGTCAAGCTGCTGTGAACATTTATTTTGACTTATCTGGGATAAATGCTCAATTGTGCAATTTTCGGGCCTTATAGTAATTACATGTTTTGTTTTATAATACTGCCAAAATGTTTCCCAGAGTAGCCTTACCATTTTACATTTACACCACACAATATATGAGTAATACGTTGTAGAAATCTAGTTTTTCTACATCCTCATCAGCATTTGATGTTGTTACTACTTTTTAGTTTAGCCATTCTGATAGGTGTGAAATAACATCTCATTGTGGTTCTAATTTGCATTTCCATAGTGAATAATGAGGTTGAATGTCTTTTCATATGCTTATTTGCCCTCTATGTATCCTCTTTACTAAAATGTCTATTTTTTTTGCCCATTTTAGTTTCTTTGTTGAGGGGATTTTATTGTTGTTTTACTGGTAACTTTTGAGAGTTATTTATATATTCTAGATAATAGTTCTTTGTCAGATGCAAATTCTGTAAATATTTTCTGCCAGTGTGTAGCTTGTTTTTACATCTTCTTAACAGGGTCTTTCACAAAGCAAAAAGGTCAGTTGTTCTATTACCGTTTATTGAAAATAATATTCTTCCTATATTTCATTGCTTTTGTACCTCTGTCAAAAATCAGCCAGGCATATTTGTAGGTCTATTTCTGAGTTCTTTATTCTGTTTTATTTATTTGTGTATCTATCTATCTTTCTTCCAATACCACATTATCTTGATCACAGAAGCTAATAGGGCTTAATAATTGGATAGCATAACTCCTCTCACTTTTTCCTTCTTTTTCAGAATTGTTTAGTTATTCTAGGGCCTGTGTTTTTGCATATAACTTTAGGTAAGGTTTTGTATGCATACAAAAAGGCTTTTCTAGAATTTTGATAGGAATAGTATTAAGCCCATAGATTAGTGTGGGGAGAATTGACATCTTTACTATATTGAGTCTTCCAGTTCAATAACATGTCTCTCCATTTTTTAGGACTTTAATTTCTTTCATTAGTATTATGTAAATTTTAATACATGGAGCCTGTGTGTTAATTTTATACATAAGTATATCATTTTATTGAAGTAATTGTGAATGATATAGTGTTTCAAATTCCTGTTTCCGCATTTTTATTGTTAATATATACAAATGCAATTGATTTTTGTATAATCATCTTGTAGTCTGTGAAACTACTTACCCTGTGAATTTACTTATCAGCTTTAGGAGTATTTTTGTAGATTCTTTAAGATTTTCTACATTGACAATTGTGTCTTCTGTAAGTATGGACAGTTTTATTTCTGCCTTCCCAATGTGTATGTCTTTTGTTTCTTTTTCTTGCTGAGACTATGCTGAATAATAAGAATGGCTGAGAGTAGACATCTTTATCTTGTCTCTGATTTTAAGTAGACATTCAGTCTTTCACCATTAAGTATGATATTAGATATAGATTTTTTGTGATTCTCTTTTGTGAAGTTCAGAAGTTACCCTTTGTTCCTAATTTGCTGAGAGTTTTCATCAGTAATAAATATTGGATTTGGCTAAATGCTTTATTTGCATCAACTGACATGAGCATATAGTTTTTCTTCTTTAGTCCGTTGATATCATAGATTACATAGATTTTTTAAAGTTGATCGGCCCTTGCACATCTGAAACTACTACTACTTTGTATGGTATACAGTTATTTTTATACATTGCTGGGTTCAACATGTATTATTTTGTTGACAATTTATTACCTAAGTTTATGAGAGATAATGGTATAGTTTACTTTTGTGTGTTTTTTTAAATACATTTTTGGTCTGGTTCTGTAGCCTCATAAAATGAGTTGGAAAGTACTTCCTTTATTTTTCCAAGGAATAGATTGTGAAAATTGGTGTTAATTCCTTATTAAATGTTTGAGAGAATTCACCAGTGAAATGGTGTAGAACTGGATTTTGGGGCTTGGGGTAATTAAAATTCAATTTCTTTAATGGTTATTGATTATCCAGATTGTTTCATCTTAGTTGAGTTTTGTTAGTTTCTGGTTTTTGAAGAATTGGTCCATTGCTTGTCATTAAGAAATTTCTAAGGAAAGCCGTTCATTATGTTCTCTGATTATCCTTTCAACGGCTGAAGAATCTCCAGTGACATTATCTATCTTGTTTCCAACATTGATGATTATTGTCTTTTTAAAAAATCTTTGTCAGTCTTGCCAGAGGTTTATCAATTTTGTTGATTCTTTTGAAGAACCAGCTCTTTGCTTCATTGATTTTTGTCTATTGTGTTTCTGTTTTCAATTCCATTGATTTCTGTTATTATTTTTACTGTTTTCTCTCTTCTACTTGTTTTTAGTTTATTTTACCCTTTTTCTCCGAGTTTCCAGAGGCAAGAATTTATTGACTTGAGACTATTCCTTTTATCTAATGTAAGCATTTAGTGCTACATATTTCCCTCCCTGCATATCAAAATATGTGGGATAATGCAGCCTCTTAGAAAATGATCTGTTTCAATGAATGTTCCATGGGCATGTGAAAAAAATGTATATTCTGTTGCTATTTGGTAGTTGGTGCTATATATATATGTCAATTAAATACTGTTGATTGGTTACGTTGTTCAATTCTATATTCTTATGACTTTTCTATCTAGTAGTTCTATCAATTGGTGGGATTTGTGTATTTGAGTGTTTAGCTATAACTGTTGATTTATTTATTTCTCCTCTATCAGCTCTGTCAATTTTTGCTTCATGTATTTTGAGGCTCTCCTCTTTTTTTTTGTTTTTGGCATGTGTATGTTAAGGATATTATGTCTTTTTGGAAGACTGACTCTTTTATCATTATATAATATCTCTTTTTGTCTCTAGTAATATTCTTTGTCCTGAAGATGACTTTATCTGATTATTAGTATAGTCACTCTTGCTTTTTTAAAAATTTATATGCGCATAGTATATCTTTTTTCATCTTTTATTTGAAATCTATGTTATTATATTTGTAGTGAGTTTCTTGTGGATAGCATATTGTTAGGGAATCTTTTTTTAATCCACTCTGCCAATCTCTGTTGTTTAATTCATGTTTCAAGGTGTACGCTAGGTGACAAGATACGCCTACTTGTGCTCTGTACCCATCAATATAGGTTCTGTCTCAAGGGAGGTACTAGTGTCTGTGCCTGCTGACATTCCTTGTTGGAGGTCTCTGCAGTATCCTGTCTGAAATATGTGGAACAATAAAGAAACCCAGGATTCGCCTTCGTATTGTTCCTCAAGTCTGAGGACCTTAAGCAGTCTTGACACATTTCAGAGACTCTTTTTTTGTTGTTGTTGGGACTCTTTTTTGTTGTTGTTGTTGTTGTTGGGACTCTTTTTTTGTTGTTGTCCAGGGTTTTTTCATTGTAAGAGGCAGGACCTAGTAAGAATGGGACTTCTTTCTCTTGCAGAAACTAGAAGTCTGAATAATAATTTTCCAGCTCATCAATACATTTATTAAGAGCCTATTATTTGCCAGACATTTTGCCAGGTGTGTTGCTAAGTAAGTAGGAAAGGAAGGAAAAGGAAGGAAGGAAGGAAGGAAGGAAGGAAGGAAGGAAGGAAGGAAGGAAGGAAGGAAGGGGGAGGGAGGGAGGGAGGGAGGAAGGAGGGAAACATGTACTCATTTTCCCAGTTTCAGCAAACATTTCACTGCCTTCTCTAATGACTCCAGCTAGGCTAGCCCCTTCCCATTACATGTTCTCATCGCACTTCTAAATTTCCCCTTTACAGATCTCATGACACTTGCATCTTATCAGTGTCTGTCTTCACTTGCAGACAAGATTGCTGAGAATAGTTATCTTTCTTGCTGCAGTATCCCATTGTCTACTGCAGAGACGGGCACAAGACAGGCATCTGCCAATATTCATTAATTAAGCTGATAAATGCTCAAATTCAAGGCAGTTTCCTTTCTCTCTGCTTTGTTCTTACTGTTGGTCTTCATCCCTGGTATAATTGCTGCATGATGGCTGACCTTCTTGGTCAGTTTTTGGCTCCTTTCTATCGCCAATAAAACCAGACTCCCTGACCTATCATCTTTTGCTTAATTGGAAGGGTTTTTCACTTCTGGCTATTAAGCACAGCTAACATCCAGGACTCCACCCCAGAGACGTCATTCATGCCATTCTCCAGGGGCTATCAGAAAAGTAGAGAGCTGTGGAGGGCTGTAAAGTTGAAGTGCCTGGTTTCATCCAAAGCAACATTTTTCTTTACCTGCTTTGTGTGGATCAGTTGGTAAAATGAGGAGCACATGTTGCTGTTAAAATAGAATAAATACCTGGGATAGCTTATTATCACAAGGTAAAACAGCAAAATATAAATCTATCTGTTCAGTTTTCCATTGTGAAATAATCACGTCACCATATAATCCTTGGAAATTAAAACTAAGACTCTTAATTATCCTTTCACTGTCTTGGGTTTTCTTTCCTTTCTTGTCCAACATTAACTGCTTCTGCAATTGTGATAAAGCAATGATCGCTATCAAAAGGTCCTTCAGCTAGCCCTGAAAATAATTTCCTAGGAACCCCTGCTTTTTGCTAGGAATCATGTAAACCTTCTTAACCTCATCATTTTTATGGTATTTTGTTTTGTTTTGTTTACCCTTAGGGGATATTAAATTTTTATGTGGCTAAACTTCTCTGTACATAGGCCAAAGTAATGTTTTGCAACAAATAGAATGATTTAAAAGCATTTTGATTTCACGGGAAGGCTGTTAATGTACACTGAAAATTGTGTGGCAGCAAAATGAGATACTCTCAGCCGCACAGTTTATCTAGGGGCACCTGTATAAAACAGGCCTCATTTAGCATTAAATCTCATTTTATGTGATCAGGGTTTATCTTTAAATGGGCCACTCAGGATTCATGCTATAAGACTTTTTTACTGAGTTTCAAGAGAAGGTCCTTCCACCCTTCACCCATACCCTTATAATGCAATTTATCATAAAATTTGCCTAGATTTTGGCCAAATTAGCACTGTATATGTCATGTGCATCTGGTATATATTTATTAAATAAAAACAACAAAAAATATATAAAAATACTTTGGAAAATTGTAAAATAATATGTTATTAATGTTATCAAGTGATTTGCCTGATTTCCTCTAAACATGTTAGGAACTCACTATTTAGAGATGTCAAATTACTTCACATGAATAATCAGGGATAGGCTTAGGATCACAAAGTGCATGAAAGTTCATATTGTAGGTCATTCATAGCATTTTCAAATGTAACAGTACTTAGAAAGGAGTGTCTGTGTGTGCATGTGTAGCTATATAAAGTACAAAAATATGAGAGATGTGGAAACTATTCCTATTGCGTGTATACAATAATTTCTTTCTGAGAACTCAAGGTGCATGGCACATAATGTTATGTTTTAGGGAAAATCTACCGGGAGAATCTGATCCCTTTTACTTCTTTCATTTTAAAGTTTCTCAATTTTATTGATGTCTTCTTTGAGATTACTACTTGAAAAATATTTAAAATGGGTGTTAGTTCTATTGCATTTATTTATTTTTATTTTTGTTTTGTGAAACAGGGTCTCGCTCTCTCACCCAGGCTGGAGTGCAGTGGCACTATCTCGGCTCACTGCAACCTCCACCTCCTGGGTTCAAGCAATTCTCCTGCCTCAGTCTCCCGAATAGCTGGAATTACAGGTGCCCACCACCACGCCTGGGTAATTTTTGTATTTTTAGTAGAGATGGGGTTTCACCATGTTGGGCAGGCTGGTCTCGAACTCCTGACCTCAGGCAATCCACCAGCTTTAGCATCCCAAAGTGCTGGGATTACAGGCATGAGGCACCACACTCGGCCTAGTTTTATCGACTTTAAAATCACTCTCCTTTTTTTTTTTTTATTCTAGAAAAAACAATTAGCAGGTGGGGAAAGCTTTCTAAGATTCATATGTCTATTACTGATGTTAACATTAGAATGTCAACTTATTTTTGTTCTTTGTCGCTGGTGATGTTTCAATACCTTCTAAGTGGATTTTCAGTATGACAGAAGAAAATATTATAGGCACTGACTCTAGGTTTAACTTCCGGGCATGTGCAGATAGGCCAAGTAAATGCTCCAGAGGCAACAATAACCTGACATGTGTTTCTCAGTTTTGGACGAAGTTTTTCATCTGGCGAAAAAACTTTATTCCCTGGCATTTTTCCTTTTCTGAGAAAAATCTCAAGTAAAATATAAAGCAGTAGAAAGGGGACAAATGGAGTTACAAAAACAAAACAAAACAAAACAAAAAAACAGTGTAACAAGAAATTTGGGCAGGTAAGGTTCTAAAGTAGAAAGCAGAATTCATCTTGTATATCTTCTTATGGTGTCAGATACAAGCAAATATTCAATGAAATGAAAATGATTATAAGCTTTGTTGTGGGCTGAACAATGGACCCTCAAGATGTCCACATCCTAATCCCCAGAACCTGTGATTGTTACCTTCTACGGCAAAAAGGACTCCGCAGGCATGATTATGTTAAGGGTTTTGACGCAGAAAGATTATCTAGGATAATCTAAGTGGGTTCAATGTGGTCAGAGTGGTCCTTATAAGAGGGAGGCAGCAGAGCAGTCACAACAGGGGATGCAATGACTGAAGCAGAGCTTGGAGTGCTAGGCTTTGAGGATGAAGGAAGGGGCCACAGGCTAAGGAATACTGGCAGCCGCTAGAAGCTACTTCAGGCAAAGAAATAAGTTCTTCTCTCTGAGCCTCTAGAAAGAGCTAGTCCTCTTGAAACCTTAACTTTACCTAATTGAAATAGATTTGGGACTTCTGATCTCCAGAACTGTAAGAGAATACATTTGTGTTGTGTTAAGCAACTGTGGTAATTTGTTACAGCAGCAAGAGGAAACTAATACAAGCCCTCTCTTCTCGAGTTAATTGATGTTCAAAGTGTTCTTGAAAAGTTAGAAATGATAAACATATGCAGTAATGACCCTGGGTTGAGATTTATCAGACTGATTTTTGAAATTAAGGAAAATATTTTTAAGGCAAAGTGATACCTTCTGTTTTATTAATGATTTTAAAGGAATAATTTGAGGAGTATGATATTTTTACTCTGCCAGCTCAATAAATGTTATAGTTTTAAAATAAATTATAGATTGGCTTTTCTCTATCATTTTGAGTTAGAATTTTAAAAATCATTGATTTAACTGTATAAATTCACCACCTCAGAGCTTTTTGAGTGTTGACAGTAATACAGAGATGCTGAGCTACCAATAATGTCATTGTAATTTTCTTCTCTTTTTTTAGTATTGTGTTATTGTAATCATATCACTACCTCTAAAAATGAGAAAAAGTACACTGAATATTCCAGGTCACAATTTAGTCTTTGATATCCTTTAAAATAATTATTTAAAATCCTTTCAAGCTTTCTGAGACACCTAGCTTATTATGAAGAATTCCAAGATGTTAAAACTACTAAAATTTTTCCCCATTTTGTAAAACATTAAGAATTTGTTGAAGATTTTTTACACTTGAACATATTGTTTAAAATATAATCTTTCTTTCCATGTGACAGCCTCACACAAACAAAGTATTTACAGAAGATGCAGGTCTGTCATTGCTGTTTAATTAACAGAGACTTTCAGAACTAGAGGATATTAAAAAAAGAACTAAAAAGAACACTTTATTGTGATAATAATAATGGCTTCATTTCACATCAGAATTTCAACTAGTAAAAATTCTATTTACAGGTGTCATCTGCTAGAACTAGTCAATCTTGTTTTATATTGTGAGTTTTTCTTTCCCCAATTACTTATACAAATCAGATGGTGGAGTACATGATAAGAAGTTTAGATTTGCTTCTAATTTGGCACATGATGTAACAATTTCCTTTCTCTATCATTTATTACTTTGGAAGCTTTTGGTTTCTTTGTTTGGCATCTAAATTGTTTAAAATCACCTTGCCTTTTAGTTCATGGAGACAATGCATATCTTTTTCATAGTCTACACCCTAGAACAACCATACCCAATATTTTTGGCACCACGGACCAGTTTCGTGGAAGCCAATTTTTCCACAGACCGGGGGGTGGGGGGTGGGGATGGTTTCAGGATAATTCAAGTGGATTACATTTATTATGTACTTTATTTCTATTATTATTACATTGTTATATATAATGAAATAATTACACAACTCACTATAATGTAGAATCAGTGGGAGCCTGAGCTTGTTTTCCTGCAACTAGATGGTCCCATCTGGGGGTGGTGGGAGACAACAACAGATCATCAGGTATTAGATTCTCATAAGAAATGCGCAACTTAGATCCCTCACACACAGTTCCAAAAGGGTTTGTGCTCCTTGAGAATCTAATGCTGCTGCTGATCTCACAGGAGACACAGCTCAGGTGGTAATGCGAGCGACGGGGAATTGCTGTAAATACCCATGAAGTTTCACTTGCTTTCCACTCATCTCCTGCTGTGTGGCCTGGTTTCTAACAGGCCATGGACCAGTACCAGTCCATGACCTGGGGGATGGGATCCCTGCTCTAGAAGACTAGTTCTTGCCTTCTTGCCAATTATTTCTAGTCAAACTGAAACCTACTTAAATGTACATTTTAATAACTTTAACAATTTATTTTGGATCACCCACTGACATTTACAATGTTGTAAATATAATTCATCTAAGATACAAATAACTTCATGGCAATTAGGAAACCCTATTTAGGTTCCACTTTTTAAAATTGTGAATTCTTAGATCACAGTATCCTTCTACATTAAGACAATGCAAACTTTGTGAAAGGCTAGCAATTGTAACATACTATGGATTTTAAGCTGTGTTCAAATTACTTACTTAGTAAAGTATTTTCCACTGAATACTTGCTATGGGTAGCACAGGCATAGTAACTGTCAATTAAGACTTTTTTTCCAATTTTGACTAAAAAAAGAGGAGTTTAGTAATTTTTCTTTCTGTGGTATACAAAGTATCCCAATTATTAAAACTGGGAGCATAAATATCTCCTAACAATCTCTGTGCTTCTTTATATATGTTTTTAAGACACTTGCTAACCCTATGAAACCAGAGTGAAGTACATGCATACATTTCCCAATGTTTTACCCATCTTTTTAGAGATTTCATCAGATATAAACTGTAAGTTTCCTCTTTGACAAATTTAATTATAAGAAATTAACTAAGAAATTATTATGGCTAATTATCAACATATACTATAGTTCAAGGTATTTTTTTTTTTTGCAACTGACAGTTTACAGAACTAATATTACCACACACTACAGACAAAGAAGCCAGTCATATTGATACAAATATGAGATACAAAAATACTAAAACCTCCAACCTAACCATATTAATAGAAATGTAGTCAGAGGCCTGGTGCAGTAGCTTGTGCCTGTAATCACAGCATTTGGGAGACTGAGGCAGGAGGATCACTTGAGGCCAGGTGTTTGAGACCAGTCTGAGCAACATAGCGAAACCCCATTTCTACAAAAATACAAGAGTTAGCTGGGTGTGGTGTTATGTGCCTGTAATCCCAGCTACTCAGGAGGCTGAGGGATGAGAATCACTTGAACCCAGGAAGAGGAGGTTACAGTCAGCCCAGACCATGCCATTGAACTCCAGCCTGGGTGACAGAGTGAGACTCTGTTTCAAAAAAAAGAAAAAAAATCTAGTCAGTGCTAAAAGGAACTTTTGATATCTTCATTCCATCTTCAGTCTATGGTTGAGAGTTGATCTGTTCAACATCAGCAAGCTAGTTGATGGCTGGGTCTATGGTCTAGGACCTCTCTGTTACCTGATTCCTAAGCTAAGACTCTTCATAGAAAACACATTGAGTCAATTCTCCCTCTGTTTCTCTCTCTCTCTCTCTCTCTCACACACACACACACAATTTACCTTAATATAGTTATTGTAGAGCAATCTAAACAAGCATATTTTTATACAAATTTACATGTTGTACTGTGTACTTACTTATCAGCCTTTTCTTTTGGCAGGAGAGCACAAAAATAAAATACATTAAAAAACCAGCGCAGAACCTGCTACATTATGGATTTTCAAAAACAACAACAAAAAAGTCTTTCTTTTATCCGATCGACTGAATTAGATTCCAGTAGGTGTGGAAATATATTAAAGTGTTCTCAGAAATATGTCATAGAAATTCACTAAGCACAATATTAATCTAACTCTAAACTAGAATATGCGTCTGCACTGACTTTATTTCCTACAAATAGACAACATTCTCCAGCCTCACCTGCCTGTTTCTTTCCTTAACTATGTAACAGATGTACCAAGAGTTATTCTATGTTTCTAGATTATGTATTTCCTTTCATATTGAAATGATGCATATATTTCTTTCCTGTGTACATATACCCACCAAACTTTTCCAGTAGTAATGAAACTCTCAAAAACTTTCTAAAGTAATGTGATGCTAGAAAATGCTAGTAAAAGCTAACCAATATACAATATATGCATGGAGTAGGAAGTTATAATTCCTTCTACTTGTAAATGTGACCTAATTACATTCTGCCTTCTTAAATTTCAAAAATAACATATATAAGCTGGTCTATCAAAATGTTTTAAACACCTAATTATCCACAATATAGAATTTGTTTCAACTTTAAACTAAACAAATGTATCTGCCTCTGAGCAGTAAACAATGGTTAGTGATATTTAGATAATAAAGTTAACTTCACAGAAACACCCAAATCTTGTATCTAGTAAGGATTTATTATAACAAATATTGAATAATTTATTATTTAAATGGTTAGAATAAAGTTCAAGGGAAATATAAGCAAACTACTTCTTTCTCTAACAATCTGAAATACATGGGGGTTTAAACCTTCTATATTTTTGTCAAAATAGTAATTAACCATAGATGACAGATGCTGCTCCCTAGTCAATGGAGGGTCTCAAATTTTACTCTGCATCTCATTGGGAAGGAAATATAAATTTTTAAAATAGAATTAACTTAGGGAAAGGCATCAGTGCTGCAACTCTTAGCACCAAATGTTTTTTCTTGGAGCACCAAATGCTCTAAGGAAAACATTCCAAGTATCAAAGTTTTCAGATAGATAAATATTTATGGATCAAATCCATAAAGAACAGACATTGTTATGAAATATATATAGATGCCTTCAAAACTTTCTTTCTAGGCAGAGTAGACACATAAGTTAGGAGTCATTTCCCACTTAATTGTTTTTGCAACCTTATGCAACACGAATGGATTATGTGCAAGACTTATTCATTTTTACACAGAAAGTAGATCTTGACTGACATGGTGTCCAGAAAATCAAACAGAAGCTATTTCTCTATATAAAATATAAAGTGCCATTAAATTTATAGAAATGGCTTCATTTTAATCTTTTTTTGGTGGAAAAGTATAGGGATTTTTGATCTGGTCTTTTGGTAAGAAAATAACACTCTTCAAAACAAATTCTTTTCAACTGCTAGTTAGTATAATTGGAGAAAAGCATAAAACAGATCTGGTTCATATCTTTAAGGGCAATGAAATTCCATCAGTCTTTGAACTTTATTAATGATATTTTTTCAGTCTACATATAGACCACTGCCACTTCCTCTTCATTAAGAGCTCTTCATAGTAGCTGTATAACAATCTACAGAAAGTTATTTTTCCATTTAAAGGCAGAGGTTAATTTTCATTGTTCATGCAGCAAAATGTAAGTATGCTACATAATTCTAGAGAAATTTGAAGTAGTTACCAAAGAAACATAGCCTTAGCTTCTGTAGTATTCTCAATGATATTAAAATAGCAATAATTGGTGTGCACTCATCAGAAATGAAGTGCCCATTTAAGGAAGCCACATTAGGTCTTGTTCCAGATGCAAATGCAGAACAAAGGGATACAATAACTCATTGCAGAAAGGGTTGGGTATACTATATCAGGCTTCCAAGTTACACTTGCATATGCAGCTACTGCCAATAGTATCATCTGTGAACATGAGGGACATTTTGGAACTGAATAGAATTCCATCCCTGAAACTAAGCATAACAACTGCATATTCAACCCAAGAAGGCATTAGCTTTATGTGGGCTTAAAGAAATGGTAGCACAGGCATAGGTAAAATTTTTATTTATGAATGTGTGGACACATGACTTTGGATCCAGCCAGCCAGTGACATAAATAAACTTGAGCAAAAGTTTCAAGCTAGAGGATATATATGTATAGAAAATTATATATTTGTGTGTGTGTGTAAGGCCTCTTGGAACAGTGCCACAAACCTGGACACCAACCAACAGAATACTCCCGTCCTTTGAAATTTCCATTAAGAGCACAATGGGGGTAATTATACCAGGATGCTCCAATCGCTCTTTCCATCTTGTGCACTCACATGCCCGCCAAACATGAAATGTTCGCCTTCTCCCTTCCAATGTGATGGTTGTTGAACTTATTTTTAGTGTCATTTGATAAGCCTTTGTGCTCACAGAGAGACATCCCACTGACCCAGCCACTGGTCATTGTCTATACCAGTTCACATCAAAGCAGGCGCACTTTGTCAGGTTTCCACTCGAATATCCATTTCGCATCTGAAGTACAGTATCGAAAGTGACTAGATCATTTGAGCTTTTTTCTTCAGCTGCTGCCTTCCTCCCCCACGGTGTTTCTGCTCACGCTAACATAATTTGGCATCGTCGACGTGACACGATGGTGGTTTTTCTAAAAAATTATAATACATACATCGTCAATGTTTTGTGATAGCGACCCTCCAGAAGATTTAATTTGTAAATTGAAGAAAGGTGGTCTTTTTCCTCTACTGAATCATAACCAAGGTAGAGTGCCCCTCAAAATCCAAGTAATGCGCATACAGTAATAGGTCATTCAATGTCAAAAGGCATAAAAAAGATGAGCAAAATCTTCACAGGCTGCTGCTTGCTGTTGCTTTTAATTATATTAATTAAACTTTGAAATTTTAATGCAAAGAGAGTTGCTGGCTTGTGACGCTGAAGAGCCCTTGGAGACTTGAAGAAAGAAAAAACCCTGAGCGGAAGCTTTGTGGTTACTGCTTCCTTTAAATTAAAAGCAAAACAAACTTCTAGGTATGTTTATGGATATTAATGCTTTATGCACTACTAAATCCTAAACACAGGAAAAGGGGGAATCTACTAGTCACAGGGACAAGTTCGCAAAAAATGAGTCCCTTGCACTACACTCAAGATCTCTGGCTAGAGGCCTTCTGTGGAATAACGCTCTATTAATTTTCTTGTCCCGAGTGCATAATGAAAGAAAGGTGTCTTCGAAAACTAAAGGGCAAAATCTTGCTTGCTACCAATACCTTGAGGCATCTTGTCTACATTTTGTCATGCGTGTGCACTTTTCAGTGTTAGAATGACAAGATTTTCCAGTCAGAAACTTCCCATAAGGCACACTGTGATAGAGCACTTGGAAGGATTCTGTGATCTGACATAGCTATAAGGCAATGGACTTCTTTATTTGCTTAGCCTGGTGGGAAATTTCATACTCTGCCTATGGATAAAGATCTTGCCACATAAAAACACAAGTGCCATGTTTCCATGTAAAAAACTCCTGTCTCCCATCATGGCTAGTTGTTTTGTGGTCCTTGTTTTGGTATCATCTTCGTGTTGTTGCTGTTGTTGCTTTTTCCTCTTCTACACATTCAAACAAACTTTCTTGTACAAACCATAGTCTGCAGGTCAATGTTCCTCTTTATTTTCAATGTCATAAATCATGAGTTACCACTGAGTTTCATCACCTCCCATGTAGATGGCAGAACAAGTGTTTAGAAATGTTTGGTGCAAGCAAAGCAGAAGGCAGAGAAAACATTTCCCGACTGAGAGGAATTAAGCTGCTCTTCCAAAAGCTTCTGAAATGCACTTGATTTTTTTCATTTGGTTGAAAATCAGCTATGTGAAAATGTGCCATCTTCGTACCTTCTTGGTCTTCCTGCTTCCCTTTTACTGAGATGGAACTCGGGAGAAGTTTATGCACCGGCCCTGAAGAAAGAAATAAATCCATATTGAAATATTGAAGCCATTATTTAAAAAAGCATGAGAACATCTAGTTTTCCTACCATGATAATAAATGATTACCCAAGGAAAGTACCATGTTAACTTGAGACATGAAGTCATAATTTTTTTTTCTTGGGTTAAAGCATGATGGTTCATTCAGATCTTTTCCACAGTAAGTTCACCTATGAGATGGTATGGTATAATTAATATGGAAAAACAATTATGGAAATAGAATGTTACTATTATCTAAAATACAGCATTACTATCACGGCCATAAAAATATCAAAGCCACAACCCAATATACTTCTTTATGTAATGAATTAAAATGAAAATATTTTCTTATGCAAGCTGATGCTCCTAAAATGCATACATGAGGATCACATTTAGTAAGCAGTAAGAGACTGAGGATGAGGAATCCCAAAAAAGGTATTGTCATCTCTTTGTAATTCCCTTTTATGAAGGATTTTTGCAAAATCATGTCCATTGTTACTGACCATTTCTCACCACTGCACACCACCATGATGTGTTCATTTCAAATGGTGACTATCTGCACTTACACATTTCTAAAGAGGATTTGCCATTCTAATTTCTTAACACTTCTGTGAAGGTTGTGTGGACACACTGTTCCATGTGTATTGTAAATAATCCAAGAAATATTTGAAAACAAAGTTTCCAATTAGTGATAAAAGATACTTTCCTTTTCTCTCTTTGGTATGATACTACTGATCCACTGTACCACCTAAATCATTCCCAGATTCCTCAACCAGCCAAAAGCTAGCATAGTGCTTTCTAAGTTAGGGTCAGGATTATCACCCTATTGACATTTCTGTATTTCTTACAATAGCTGCTCTCAAAGTGTTTTAGATTTTAGAGTGTCTCTTTATTTCCCTCTAAATGTAAGTTTGTTTTTAATATCCAAAGCATGATAAAATTCAAAAGCAACAAAACATTGTTGAAGAAGAATGGTTGGAATATAAAAGCAGAATTTTTTTCCATTTTTTCCAAAAATGACTGCTCAATAAATTTGAAAATTTCAGAAATTAGTGAAGAAACAGAAAAGCATAAAAACAAAACAGAGCTAGGAGTTTCCATTAGTTTTTGCTAAAAGGCAAACATTCATCAAATTATCTGTCTTTTAAATACTTTTGGAAGCAACATTATTACTACAATTGCCAATTTTTATTACTTACTTTGTGTTAATGTCTACAAATCATATCAGTGCAAAAGGAAGTAGGAAAAAAGCAGATAGAAGATCAGATTAAAATGAGGTCAAAATTCCTTACTGATACAGGTCATAGGTCATGTACTCCAGACTGTATTTTTGTGTTACCTAGAACTTTCAAACAAGATTTTCAGAGTGCATATTAAGTGAAGAGGTGCTCTTCTCTAGATTAGCTAAGGGAGCTATGTGTGTTGCCAAAACACAATAAAACAATAAAAGTGTTATTTTTCACAACACGTTATGTTCCATGGTTAGAAATACTTTTTCAAGAGGGACAGGTAGGAAAATGACATCATACATAAATAATTGAGGCAAAAAAAGTAGTGCTTCTAAAACACAGTAGTATATATATTCAATGAGAAATAGATTTGAACTATGCAAATTCAACAGTGATCAACATTTAAAATATTATCTTCTGGCAATTTTCCAGAATTGAACAAATATATGAGGAATGATATTATGACAGCAAAGATATAAATTAATGACATCTTTTTCTTGTGTATTTGTAGACCAAAAAGTAATAGTTTTCTCTTTTCTGTACAAGTTTGAAAATAATTATGAACCTCTATTTTCACTTGTGTTTTATCACTTATTAAATGGATATAGATATAATGATTCTTCTGTGACCACTTCCGTTCTATATACCATATTAACTTTAGTGTGTGATGACTAGTAATGGTTAGTAGAGTGTTAACTTTAAGCAACTGGATAGTTTAACAAGTGAGATTCACAATCTACTCAAATTCTCAAATTCACTTCAATACCTAAATTATTCCAGACCTAAATTATTTATTTCATTTGATGTGGTTTAATTAAAGATATGGAAACTTGAAGGAAGAAAACTCTGCTGATTTTGACTCTGAGGTCCTTATTACAACTCTTCCAAAGCTTGGTATTAAGTATCAATTATCAGCTGCCAAATGTCTCTAGATATAAGCACCAAAAAAAAAAAAATAAAGAAAAACCTATTAAATGCAATATACACCTATATGTTTTAACACACACCCGTTAACAAAAACAAGCAAATGCTCTTCTCCCCTTCTAATCATGGACTCAGTGCTTTTTACTTTTATCAACAGCTGATAATGTCTGGGTGTAATTTTATTTTTCAAAAATTTAAAAGGAGGTGACTTCGGGAAATCTGTTCAAGAGTCACTGTTAAGCATTTCCCAGTTTTCCCAGTTGTGGGGCTCCTTCTCCCAAAGATCCCACTGCATCTCCACTATAGCCACACTACATCGTGCCATAATAGCATGCTCAAATATCTAAAAGGAAAGATAACAGTGGTTAAATCTGAGCACTCTAAAGATGGAGTATGTCTTCTAGCCTCTGCCACTTCTTAACTGTGTGACCATGGGCGACTTACTTAACTACTGTGTACCTCAGTTCTTTTATCAGTAAAATGAAGACTAAAAAATGGGCCTATTCTTAAGGCTGTTGTAAAGACTAAATTTGTTAAGATATATAAAGCACTGAAAATAGTGCCTGACATATAGCAAACTCTCAATAAAAACACATATTGTTGGCCGGGTGTGGTGGCTCACGCCTGTAATCCCAGCACTTTGGGAGGCTGAGGCAGGCAGATCATGAGGTCAAGAGATCAAGACCATCCTGGCCAACATGGTGAAACTCCATCTCTACTGAAAATATAAAAATTAGCTGGGCGTGGTAGCGCATGCCTGTAGTCCCAGCTACTCCAGAGGCTGAGGCAGGAGAATCGCTTGAACCCGGGAGGCGGAGGTTGCAGTGAACCAAGATCGCACCACTGCACTCCAGCCTAGTGACAGAGCGAGACTCCGTCTCAAAAAAAAAAAAAAAGAAAAAAAAGAAAAAAAAAAAGAAAACAAAAACAAAAAAAACAGATATTGTTGTTATCCATATTCCCTCTATAATGTCATTGCATAAGTCTAACATAGAGCAGACTCAATAATTTCTTACTTAGGAACAAGTGAATGGATGGATGAAGAATGAATGAGTACACAATCACACAGACCTCCACTGGTGGTGGAGCCAGATGTCAAAAATGAGAAGACAGAATAAGTATGAATCTGAGGGAGAGAAAGAGGATTACCAAGGAGAAAAACAGTGGAAAGGAGAGAAGAAAATACGGAGAAAATAGATGAGAGTAGCACAGAAGAGGAAAAGGTAAGAAAGAAGAATCAAGAAAAATGGAAACTTTTGGCTAAAGGGAAATATTTTATTCAGTATTCCATTAGGAGTCTTACTTCCAGGCAACTACTTCACATTGGCTGCTGCCATCCGCTTACCAGAAAATTCTAAAAACAAGGCAATGCATCCCGGTTGTAAGTGACCATGATCAGATAGCATCGTCCTTCAACTATACCTAATACTAGCTTACAAAACACACATTAGTGATAACGCTAATTATGTTTAAGGTCATGGATGTTTGGGCTGCCATTTATATTACAGCAAGAAGTCAATGCCAGAACACTGCAGAGCAATTTTTATTTGCAGGAAATGGAATATGACAAGGCTTACAAGTCTGTCATATCCTCATGCTTATAGTGCCTACACAATAAAGGTATGTTATCAAGGTAGCAAGCAAAGCAATATAAAATAGCTTGAACATACAACTCATCAAAGAACTGTACAGAATGGAAAGTATTATTAGTTAATAATGTTTCTTTTTCTGAGACTATTTCACTTTTATAACAAATAATACGAGTGCTAAAAATAACAAAAGTTAACTAAATGGTTTAATAAGAAACTATTAAATGTAACCTAAATATATAGAAGAATACATATAGACCTATATTTATTATAATTTTAATATTTTATTCTCTATATAGAGGCTAATACTAGTATCAGGTGACAGGATTACATAGCTTCTAAAATAAACCATTCTAACATTTTAATATGCCAAAATAGAGGAACATAAGATTTCCATGAGCAAGAGTTAAAATGAATGAATGTATAATATTATGCCTGTATTTCACAAAGTAATTCGATAAACTGGAACTCAGGTGGCATAAGTGTTTAGAGAATAATATAACATGTAATATATGTTATTATTATGAAGAAAATATTTTCTTTATTTTCTGAAAATTTAATTAAATATTCTTTCTAAATAACTTTTTTGATTTAAAATCATGCCCTAATCATGCATGTAAATCATGAGTAAAATCTAAATATACTGTTGTTGTAATGCTTTAGGTAGCACCCACACTACTTACTCAATTAGGCAATCAATACAACCAACTTGAATTTGATATCATGCCTTATAAATCATTGAATCATAAACTTTAACAATAACAACATTTAGTTAATATAAAATTGAATTAAATTAGTGTCTGCATTAGTTCAAAATGAACTATAAATATATTACCTTATTTTGGTTTGGGAATATAATACTCTTTGGATTCAATAAAATCATTGTTAAATTTATTAATTTTGCATGACATAAAAATTTAGAAGTAGAATTTATTAAATATTTATAAAAATTAAGGTTCGGCAGAATAAAGATAATTTTATCACTGACTTTATGCTATAGCGAAATACATTTAAAGTACATTAATTTAGAAATTATAATTATTCAGATATCAGTTATGTTGTAGCTGACCTTTCTCCATATATTAAAGAATTAGGCAAATTAATCTAAATAAGATTACTCTGAGTATGTTTACCAACTTAAAATTTGTATAGCATATAAGAAGTGCATGTAAATATTAATAATTCAATCATTAAATTATGATCTTTTTATGGAAACATTTTATTTGCCTAATAGAAATTATGACTTTAAAGAAATAAAACTGCCTCCCTTCTAAAGAATACTGTTTTATGCAAACTTATATTGAAAACATTACATAGTTAGTGAATTTCTGTGGCAAGAAAAGAACTCTTGTGCATTGCTAGTGGAAGTTAAAATTGTCAAAAACTATATGGTAAGCAAAGTATATAAAAAATGGTCTTTAAAAACTTACATTCTTTGACTCAGTAATTTCACTTTAGGAATCTAACCTAATAAAATAGCTAGACTGAGATTTCAAATATTTACTATAGGATTTTTATAGTAGTCAAAAATATACTCAATTTGTATTTATTTCTGTGCAACAATCAGAGACTAGTTGAATAAATTCAGATTCATCTATTTTACTCTATTCTACAGCCATTAAAATAAGGAAACTTTCTAAAGATGAAAAAAATGGTAACTAAAAATATGATATGATTGTAATTATGCAAAGACTTTAATAGACAATATACCAGCATGCTGCAGGTAATGGGATAGCACATGACTTCTCGCATTCTATGTTTTACCTTTTCTGCATATTCAAATATTTGCTATCTTAAAAGGTAACATTAGTTTTCAAAGAGTGAATTCATTCAGCAAACATGCAATCATTTTTAAACATCTATATTTATGTTTTTAAAAGTCAGCCCAAGAACTTACTAACTACTCACTTTCTGGAATCACCACCAACTTCCAGCTATGCCAAAGCTTTTCAGCACTGAATGTGCCCATAAGTTAACTCTTTTACTCATCTTTGGGCTGTATTTTACAATTACTATCTTGGTGTACCCACTGTAATGCAGTTTGACTCAAGAGCACATTTATATGGTAGAAAATTTATTAATAAATTTTATAATCCACCATCAGCATTTTCTTCTTATCATACAAAATTATAAAAGTTTCAATAAAATGCCTGTTAAAGCATTTGGCAAGGTCACAACTGGCTATCTAATTGTTAAAAATGTGTTTGTGTGTATGTCTATAAGTGCATGTCAGCACACATGTACAACCTACCTCATGTCCTGTGCATGCTGGAGTTCATTACATTGAAATAAATATAAGAGAGGCTCTTTAATTTTCATACCACATCAAACTTTTAACCACATACCCAATATCTAGGGCATATAATTTCTCTATGCAATTAACAATATAGAATATTTATACCTCAGGTATTTACCTGTAATAATGTTAGAATCCTTTCTCTCCCTATCAGTTTGCAAAACTACTCCCAGTTGACTCTAAGTGGAATGCTAGCCATTTATTTCTCTAGGTCAATGGTTTTTTCATAGTGTAAACCACGAAGTCCTGTGGCTTTTCTGCAAGGTGACTCAGAGGTCACTGTGGCTGGGGTAGTGCATGAGAAGGGAACAAGCAGGCACAACTGCAGGCCTCTCAAACCTAATGCTCCACTCTTATCTATCTTTTAAAATTGCAATTCAGTATAAGATTTTGTCTGTGCTAAAAATGTAGTTTGATAACTAATAGTCCAGATATTTTCATGCCTGTGTCAAGTCAGATCACTAGTAAACTATCTGTATATATAGACTTGATTTCTTTTCTTTAGATCTTCTCGTCGATCTACATAAACAATATAGCATTCTCTCTTTTTTTTTGGTTATATGAAGAGCCCTGTGAATTTTGGTCATATGAGGAGAATTATCATTTTGGAAAATTGCTATTAAGGATACTGATATTAAGGGACCAATTCTCCTTGGTGTTCAGAGCTAGGAAAAAGTTTGTCAATACTGGTAAGCTCATGTTTCCCTTTTATTATATAATGGCAACTATACAACTTAACGTCTTTCTCTTTATGTCTTGGCTTTTAGGAAGCTCAGATTTATAAGATGTCCTAAAAGCAATTGCTAGCCTCAGTGTACATTTTCTGTTATAACCATATCTTGACTTCGGCTTATTATTATTTCCCAATTTTTGTTCTTCTGAGGTTTGACTATTTTTTTTCTCAATACTTCTTTAGAAGTAGACTAGGTATAAGCAAATGTAAACTAATAAAGGTTTCTTTCTTGATTCTTAACTTTCTCAGTCACGGAGAATATCTGAACCCCTCTTAACCTCTACAATCCTCCAATAAAGAATTGCCTAAACCTGTACCTTATGCAAAAAGACCATATGCTTTCTGTGTTGCTTTTTCTTATTCTCTTAGGGCTTAATGAGGTACTCTGTAGATACCTCATGATGTCAAATTATCATTAATTTGAACTTAACCTGAACTAAGTTGAAAAATTAATATGAACTTGAAGTTTATACATGCAAGCATGGTGAAACCATACTATTCTTCACATAATCCCAAAGTTCTTCTATGATAACAAATCTGTCTGAAGACTGAAAACTTCATTTTCTTTGCCTGCTAGGCAAAAGTAAGCACAATATAATTCTTTACAAATTGGAATGTATTAACAGTTTCAATTCATCACAAAGAGCACAGCTCTGTGTGGAAACTTTATTCTATTACACACTTTTCTTCTGTATAAGAAGATACAGAATGTACCAAGGATATGACAGAAACAAAAGTCTGGTCATAATAAAGGCTAAACTCACAATCGGAATCTTTAACTTCACTCAAATAATTTTCAGGCAATGATTAGTATATCTTAGAGTGGGAAGCTTATTGACATTTTCCCAGAAATTGTTGCTAGCAAAACCTTCTCATGAGCCTCATAATAAGTAAGAAGGGAATGGAGATGCCCTGAAGAAAAATGTCTGATATTACATTACTACTCTGCAGTTAAATAAACCAAGAGGTGAAAATATGACAACAGTAGGAACTGACATATTTGCTGTTGCCTAGGTATAGAGACCCCAACTCCACTGCAATATTTAAAACTGACTTCACTGTCTCATTTTCACCATGGCCGGTAATAGCAGCATTAACCAGAGCAAGTGTCATGTCTCCCAT
The DNA here is from genome assembly GCF_000001405.40 of Homo sapiens. Lineage (NCBI taxonomy): Eukaryota > Metazoa > Chordata > Mammalia > Primates > Hominidae > Homo > Homo sapiens. The sequence goes on from NC_000004.12 coordinate 79,915,367, forward strand.
CTCTTGAGCATTAAAATTCCACTGGCATTAACGCTTGTGAGCTCCTTTACTAGCTATCTGCACAGGATGTATTTCACTGCTATAACTGTTATAGTATTATGCTCACCTCATAAATATCCATTGACAAGCTGAAGCAAACAACTGCACTTTAGTTTAGACTTTTCAAACACAGTTAGCTGATTTATTTATAAATCACTTCTAAAAAAAGGTTACTAAACCTTCATGTTGTGTACGACAGTAAAGAGTGTTTCAAATTTAAAATTGTATACAAAGCATCCACACGCATAGACACAGAGACAAATCAAGAGGTCCAGGAAATCACTGATATAAGGAGAGACTTGAGAACACAATAGCCATTTTGAGTAGAGATTTTCTGTAGCAAATGGAGATACAGAACTGAAGAAAAGGCATGTAGTATCACATCTTTCTCTCTCTGTCTCTGTCTCTGTCTCTGTCTCTCTCCCTCTCTCTCTCTCTCTCTCTCTCTCTCTCTCTCTATATATATATATATACATAAAGAATCTGTGCTATCTTTTGCTCTAAATAAAACTGCAAAATTTTGAGCTGAAATATAAATTCCACATACTCTTTTCTAATGGAAGCTCAACCTATAAATGTCCAATTTTACAGTAGAGACCACGCACCATATGGATATTCAGTAGATGTCATGAAGAGAAGTTCTGAGTTTGGCTGAAAAATTTACCTTTAAATGTTTTTTATTCAGTATCTTTAATCTGTCATGGCACCTGCAAAATTTCAGTGACTCTATACATATGGTTAATATTTATTTTGCAAATACCCATTTTTAAATATTTGTTGAAATTCAGGCATACAGTTGGCAGTTAATGGTACACCTAAACCACACCTCATAAGATGAAATAGATGCTTCTAAATTATTAATTCCAAGTAAGATACATATCTAGATGTAGATATAGATATCTATAAAAATCTTTGTTGGAAATACCTTCTTTTGTGCTTCCTAATAAGTCAAAATGGGAGGTAGATGCCCCAAAGGTATTAATAAATAGATATAGATATAATCAGGACAGAATTCTATATACCTTTTTAGTTGCTTAACATTTATTTTGTGAGGCACATAGTAGATAATGTAGAAATTGTTTTCTGCTTTCTAATCTCAATTAGAATACAGATCATTTCATAGATCTTAAATCAATAGTAAAAAAATTTCTCATAATATGACCTTAAAGCAATAAAAAAACAGAAAGCAATTTATGAATATTGTAGCATTACTGGTGTTAACAAGAAATTGAAAATGATCCAAATGTCCACCAGGAAGAGAAAAGTCGAATAAATTAAGATACAGATAGAAAATGGAATGCTATAAATAATATACATCTGTTAGAAAGAATGAGGAAAATTTCTATACACCATTGTGGAGTGATGAACAGGATTTATGAAGGGGGTTAAAATGAAGGAGCATATAGTATACACACTATAGCATCTTTTATATTACAAAAAAGAAAGATACACTGGCATTAACATATGCTTAATTTTTAAAGGGAAAGAAAAAAATAATTCGTTTGAAAATAAAATTGGTTAGCAACAGGTGAGAGGTACAGAGTAGACTGAATAAGAATGTAAATGAGATAAATTTCAATATATCTTGTTATATGCTATTAAATACAAACATGTAAATGTTTGACTTTTGAAAAACAGTTACACAATAAAAAGAAATCCCAACAAATTAAAATAAACTTCACTAAGTGCAAGGCGGAGGCCTGCCAAAAGCATAGAACATGGCAGGAAAGCTGGTGTGGAGAGGTCCTACCACAGTATCTGAGGCTTTCTTTGAGAGCCAAGAAGTAGTCAACTGAAGGCTGGGAGAAAGGCAAGAGGGTAGAGAAATATTTCCTCCTCCAAAGGCACATGGAGCCTTCTCAAAGGGAATAGAAGCAGCCCACTGAAGGTTTGGGACATGGCAAGAGGAAAGAAAAAAAAATAGCCCTGAGGGACCCAGAGCCTTCCCCAACCACAAGGTGGCAGCCTGCTGAAACCTGGAAGCAGAACTGAGAAGTATCCCACCAAAACTCATGGGGCCCTCTCAGATTGCAAGTCATTGGCCAGTCCAAGTCTGCAGGCAGAAAATCAGTTTGAAAGTGGGTCTCCCAAGGTACAGAAAGTTTGGCCAGTTAAGGGGACTGTGGCAGTTAGAGACAAAAGAGACCTCCGCTGCAACTTTACAAGCTTGCTGATGAACTGTAATGGAAAAAGCAAGAGAGATAGAGATAACTCTCTACTGAAGGCAAATCCTTAATCCTATCCTCAAATTCATGAAAGCTACTAGTGAACTAAAAATAAGTAAGAGTAAAACTTAACTACAGATTAGCAACAGGACAAAGGAAGTGGTATGTGCTTTTCTAAGGGTAAACGTTACCAGACGAGTCTCTTTTTTAATTCCCAATATCTAGTATAAAATTACAAATTATGGTACACACAAAGAAGCATAAAAGTATGACTCATAATCAATGAAAACACAGATAATATAGGCAAATCTACAGGTGGTTTAGATGTTGCAGTTAATAGACATGGACTTCAAATAGCTATGATAAAAATAATAAAAGATCTGGCAAAAAAGGCAGGTAACATGCATAAAGATACTGGGAACATCAGAAGAGATGGAAACTATAAATAAGAAACTGTAATAATAGGATACCAAAACTAAAGAGAAAATATACAATATCCGAAATAAAAAATGTATTTGATTGGTGTTAAAGTAGAACGGACACAGCAGAAGAAACACTCACTGAATTTGAAGGTAGGAGAATAGATATTGTTCAAATTAAAAAATAAAGAAGAAAATAACTAAGGAGAATCTGAGCCCTATGAGACAATATCCAATGGTTTGTCATATAAGTAATAAGTGTCCCATAAGGAGAGGACAAAAAATGGGGCTAAAAAACTACTTGAAAAATAAATGCTCAGAACTTCCTAGAATTGATAGAAGACACAAACTTACAGATCAAAGAAACTCAGTTAACCATGAGAAGGATAAATACATAGAAACCCAGGGAATATAGAGTTAAACTTCTGAAAACCAAGAATGTCATGAAAGCATAACTCTTTCCCCTTACCCTGCCCCACAATGAGATATAAAGAGGGAATGGTGATAAGCACGACAGTTGACTTTTTATTAAAAAACAATGAAGGACACGAGGCTATGGAACACTCTAAAATAGTAAATGGGGAAAAATATCAATTAAGATGTCTCCATTCAGAGAAAATACCCTTTAAAACTAAAGACATTCTCAGACAAACAAAATATGAGATCATTTATCCACAATAGCTTTTAACAAGTGCGAAAAGTTCTTGAGACAGAAGAAAAAAGACACTGGGGATGGAAGCTCAGGTTTGCAGGAAGAAATAGAGAAACAGAATAGTAAATATGTGACTAAATACACAAGTAATATAAATAAAGAAAATAAATTTTTATGACACTATTACTTAAAGGAATAAATAATAACATATTGAATTCATAACATATGTAGTAGTAGAATACATGACAAGAGCATAAGGAACAGAAAGAAAAAAATGGAAATTATACCACTGCAATGTTCGCATATTGTTCTTGAACTACTTTAATATTATTTGATGTTATACTGAAAGTTAAAGTATATTGTTATTTCCTGAGCAAGCAATGAAAAACAAGATAGAGAAATGGCTAAAAAGATAACAGAGGAGATAGAACATAGAAGAAAAAAATTGTTAATCTAAAAGAGGAAGAAAGGAACAGAAGAAAAAAGAATGGATATGGCAAATAGAAATCAAATACAGTAAACTTAAGAACTGGAACAAATAAACTGGACACAAGACCACATACAGAAAATAAATATTTCAAGTGACTTAACGCAGTATTTTGCCTGTATAGCAACATTAGAATATGAACGAAGGATAAATGGAGAAGCAAAGAAATGTTTCACTTAATTCACCAGTCTTAATTTTACTATTTGTTATTAATTCATAGTTATATAATGTGATGGTTAATACTGAATGTCAACTTGATTGGATTGAAGGATGCAAAGTATTGTTCCAGGGTGTGTCTTCAAAGGTGTTGCCAAAGGAGATTAACATTTGAGTCAGTGGACTTGGAAAGACAGACCTACTCTCAATCTGGGTTGTCACCATCTAATCAGCTACCAGCATGGTCAGAGGTAGAAGGACATGGAAAGACTAGTCTGGCTTAGTCTTCTGGCCTATATCTTTCTCCCATGCTGGATACTTCCTGCCCTCGAACATCAGACTCTGAGTTCTTCAGCTTTTGGACTCTTGGACCTTTGACCACAGACTAAGGCTGCACTGTCAGCTTCCCCACTTTTGAGGTTTTGGGACTTGGGCTGGCTTCTTCGCTCCTCAGTTTGCAGATGGCCTATTGTGGGACCTCACCTTGTGATCGTGTGAGTCAATACTCCTTAATAAACTCCCTTTTATATATACATCTATCCTATTAGTTCTGTCCCTCTAGAGAATCCTAATACATATTTTATATATATATATATATATATATATATATATATATATATATATATATATATATATAAAAAATGATAGGGCAGACAAGTAATTACATTAATATTGTTAAGACTAAGATTTTTCATGTTGGAGAAAACAGATGTAAATATAAATTCAAAAATATTCAGTAAAATCCTTTAATGCTAAGTGGGAATTATAAATATACTATTAACTCACCATTTTTTTCCCAAAACTACTGAATTTCCTAGCTCTGCCTGCTGGAAAGGCCTAAAAGCAATGACAGTAAAAATTAGCACCCCTAGTACTCAAAATGTTTTCTCTAAATACCATTATCTACTAAAAACAAATCTAGGACTCCTTAGAGTTGAATCATTGATTCCAGTTTTGGAACAGAAAATGCAAACGATGTGTCTGGGACATATTATGCCAAAATGAAAGAAATTAATCAAAGACGAATGGCTTCTTGTCAAAAATATACAGCAATCAATATGATGGATCAGGCTTTTACTACCTGCCTCCTCTGATCAATCTTGGTATCATTAAACATGTAACATCTTATGTGATGCAATGTAAAGTACATAGCACCACCTATGAATAATCTATGCCAAAATTAAAAGGCAAATCTGAATCAGAGTAAGAGGGCACAGAATATCAGTATATACGTGTGTTGGGGATGAGTGCTGGAGAAGTTGCAATTTTATAAAAAGTATATAGGTAGTAGAGAAACCAGCAAGGGCAAAGGCTGTGGGGAAAACATCTTTGTCATATCTGTGGAAAAGGCAGACAGATAATGTGGCAGGAACACAGTGAGCAATGCAGAAAGTAGAAGATGTGGTCAAACAGAAGGCAGAGATCTTACTATACAAAGCCTGGTAGCAGTCACCTATAAATCTTTTTCTAAAGCACATTACTAATTATACAAAATTAACATCTGGATCCATTCTCATCTCTTTTACTGCAGATGGAGTTAAGATAAGTGACTTATATTTCAAATTCTTAAGATTCACATGTACAACACAAAACAAGCAAAAAATACCCATCAGACAATATCAGACTAAAGAATCCAAACTACAATCTTCATGTCAAATAATGGCTAATTGCAAACAAAATCTATATTTGAATCATGCATTTAGAAAAAAATCCAAATGAAAGGCATATTACATCACTATCAGGTGGGAAACAGTATAAATTAGTTTGCTTAGAGTGGAAGAATGCTAGCATGAAAATAGTAATTTTTTGCTACAGTATTTCTAGACTTAAAATTTTTTAACCTCACTTGTTAACACCACATAGCAAAAAGTTTACATGCAATTCATGTATTTCTTCTTAGAAAATTAGGCATTAAGAAAATTCATTTGCCTTATCAAGTTGCTTTTGGCACATTTAAAGAGAAATTCTGAATGTTTATATATCAACATTGAAAAACATTTATTGAGATTTTCCTAATGTATATGGCTCTAGTGATACATTGATTTATTCCTAGTTAAGTTAGGTTTCTAAGAATTAAATCCTCACTTTTAGGACTCTAAAGCAATGTATACTGTCCTAGTCAAAAAATTAATAACTAAAAGCCTCCACTGGATTCATATAGATTTTCATTAGCTGTCTCTACTTAAAAATGTCCATAGCTCTTTGGGTCATTTTGCCAAACAGCTAAATTCCTATACAATTTGAGACTAACTGATTTAGCACAAATATTATAAAACTTCACTTTAAGTTTCTGAATTGATGTTTTATGGATAAGACTTTGTAGAAATGTATAGTTTTTGAAGCTTTATTTTGAAGGGCAATTATGGATTACTTTCTGAAAGCTTACGAATAAAAATTTTTTATGAAAAATATGCCTAAATCTTTAACTGGAAACTTAGTTACTGTGATGTTGTGTTTTTGTTTGTTTGTTGGTTGGTTGGTTGGTTTGTTTTTCACCACAGCAAGTGTTTAGTGAACACATTGCACATATTTAGTTCTAATGGAAGAGGTGTGTATATATATTCAATTTTTGGACAATCGATTTATGCCTTAGGTATTTTTATTATATTTGAGAAAAACAATTTTAAACAATCACTGAGGTCATTTATTACATCTAGTAATAAGATGTAATAAATCCCAAATCACTATTTAATTTTGAATATTTATTACAGATGTATGATATAAAATGATGTATATGTTTTAATAACATATACGGATTAAAACTCTGCACACTATACTTCCACATTCTAAACTGCTAGAGCAGCAGACAAATGACTTTTCTTGCTAAACTTATACCATGGAGAGCAAAACCTCTAGCAAACTTGAAATTCTATAGGCTAAAATTAGGCTGATAACAGCATGAAATCCCTACTTCTATGTGCAGATGCAAGTCTAAACAAGCCTTTCATTCATAGCCACAGGGATTTATACTGTAAACATAGATGCCACTGTGACCCAGATGTGATTTCACTGATCAATGAATATACAATGGCATTTAATGGTGATTCCTTGCTCACAGTTTGTAAAGAAACTAAACACACATCAATTTTGTCCTTAATGAATGCAGGCACTCCTAGTCTAAACAACTTATGTTAACTAACATGAGTAAGTCTTTAAAAAAGTTATGGAAATATTAAACCATCTCTAGAGATATAATTAATCCCTAAAATGAAAAATGTAACCTTTCAAAGGTTAAACATTTAACACATACAAGCATATAGATACATTCAAATAAGTAGAGACATAATTATGATAGTGTTTCAAAATACTAATTGACTAAAAACTAATATGTATTAAGTTAGCTTTATGTAAAAAGAACAGTTTGCTTCTTGATCCAGAGAACTAAAGAATGCTGAAGACATACATGTAATAACTCAACATAAATCCAAGAACATGAAACTGAAATTTAGGTCTACCTACAAGTCAAATATTGGGTCCAGAGCTCGTGTAGATACATAGATAACACAGATATATAGAGACAGAGATACAAATACAAGGTTAGCTGCAAAAAATTATATTCTAAGCCAAAATGGCTTTCTAAAACAAAAAGAATATAATTAATGTATTATCTTAGATAAATCAAATAATATAATTAGACTTTGGATAACAGCAAAGTTGATTCAGTGTTTACACTTCTAATATTTTTTAGCAAACAAATCTAATTTGTTTAACATCCATCTTCTTTCCTAGACTGTAAGCTCCATGTTTCTTTTTCACTATCATTTAACAAGTGCTTAAAACAGTGCTCATCCTATAGGATGAGTGCTTAAAAATATTAGCTGAATGAATGATCACTACTGGGCTTGAAATATTAAATTTGATTTAGGTAGTCAATAGCTATCTAAAGCATATAATTGATATTGCATCTGTATGAATATTGAAAGTTTCAGTGCAATAACACAATGACTAGCAAGCCATAAAACAAAATACAATGGTCGACTTGTCTAAAAATACAAACACAAAACTATAAAATGATATTTCAGTTTTTGCTAACTGACTTGTAAGGAAACAATAGTGGTAAACATTCCACAGGCAAAAGTCTTCCTGGCTTATTTAGTCACATGAATATTCAAGTAGGCCTAGATGTTCTGCTTCCTGTATGTGTGGCCCATCAATTAATAGGGAAGTGGCTGAACTACAGGATGCAAGTGTTCTAAACCAGGAAACAAGTAGGCATCGGAGAGGAGCTGACCTTGGTGTCAGTTCCAAGGAGAAAGCAGATGGTAGGAAGTGGGGTCTGCTTCATGCTGAAGCTACCAAGAGACAGAAAAGATGGGGATGAAATATGTATTCTAAGGCCATTGTGAGCCTTAGATCGAAATACAACACACAATTTGACAAGCAAAAGTGGTCATTAACACATGTACACATATAATGAAGTAGTGAAAGTGTTTAAATCAGTGCACAGTTAACTGACTTCATAGGTATTTATTTTCCTTTATGCCTCTGTTATTCCCTGTCAAATAAATAAATATTTGTAGAAGAAGCATGGTTTTTCTTCACACAAGTGGCAGAGCACATGCGCTGTCTCTATGTGTGTTGATACAACTCCAGACACCAAGTTATGCATCAGGGAGGAATCCTTCTGTATTTATGAATTATTAACATTATTAAATTTGGAAAAGAAAATAAAGCACAATTCATGAAGATTTCCAAAAACACACACATATATTGTTTTAATTGTAGATTTGGGGAGTACATGTGCAGGTTCGTTATATGGGTGTATTGCATAATGCTGGGGTTTGGGCTTCCAGTGAACCCATCACCAAATAGTGAACATAGTAGCCAACAGGTAGTTTTTCCAACATTTTCCCTCCTCTCTCCCTCTCTTCTTTTGGAGTCCTCAGTGTCTATTATTTCTATCTTTATGTCCATGCCCAAATACATATTTTTAAAATGCTCTCAAAATTGATAGCATTTGCTGACAAGTGTAAAGGTTTAAATACTGGGTACTTCATCAACAAGTAAAGATTTGGAAATTTTAAAAGGTTAAAAACATTCTTTAAAATAACGAAAAAGGCCAGGTGCAAAGTGACTCAAGCCTGTAATTCCAGAACTTTGGGAGGCCTAGGCAGGAGGACTGCTTGAAACCAGAAGTTTGAGGCTGCAGTGAGCTATGATCACACCACTGCACTACAGCCTGGGTGATAGAGCAAAACCCTGTGTCTAAAATAAATAAATAAATAGAAATGAAACATAACTGGATAAACCAATTTCAATTACTATAGCACTTTTAAAGTTAATGAAAAAGTTCTTAATCTCTAATGCATTATCAGAGTTGTTCTTCTTTTGGCAAGAGATTATTATAAAAATTAGTAACTCCATGGCAGGACTAGAACACAGAGATTTTTTAGCATTAGGAACATGAAAGTACAGAAAACTGCAACTACAAAAAATCTAGTGTTCACAAAGCTTACTTCCTTTAAATTTAATCTCTGCTATAGTTTTTAAGTGAAACAACTAAAATTCTATTTCAAAATATTTTCACTTGAAAATACATCTTTGTTGACTGAAACAAACAAAAAAGGTCCTAGTGTTCATGTATCAGTACAATGCCATAATAAAAATTGTGCTGAACTGTCATACTCTCACCTAACATCCTATCATTACAGATAGAAAAGCTATATGAGATGACAATGTAACATTTTGTTTGAATGGCATCCCTGAGAAAAATCCAGCTGCAGCAGCACATTTTTAAGATTTAAATGTGAAAGATCGGTCATTCTAAATATGTATCATTGTATCTTTTCATCAAAGTCAACACCAATCTTTTGAACTTAGAGAAGGCTGAATGAATAAAATATTCTTGTGCTGGCAAAACCCAAACCTGGACAACTGTATCAGCATTTTTATTTAGTTTCTTCTGACAACATCAATGCACCTTGCAAAAAGCAAGCCAGCTGTTCATTCTATTTGGTGCTATTAAAAGTCGTTTTACAGACTTAAATTATAGTCACTCTTTCCTTTTTTTTTTTTTAATGATGATGGCATTAAAGCCTTAGATAATAAAAAAAAATTTATGCAGGTTTCTTGGGCACTTCTATTTTTAAATATCCAATTTAACATATGTTTAAAACAGAGCATACGGAAATAAGAAAAAGCAAATTTGAATTCCAGGCACAAATATTGGTTAAAATGCTAACACCATGTAAATGTATTACTTTATAGTAACCTTCAATCGGGAAGGTTATTGAGACTCAAAATTAACAAAAACATAATCTCTTTGCTATAATAATACTAATTTTCAGGACCTACATTTTCCACAGTTGATTTGACATTGTTCAGGTTCTGCAAAATTTATTTCCAGTTTTTAAAAGATTATATCAAGAGAGTCATTCTCTTTGTATGACTAGGGTCACATCTTATTGAGTGACATTAAAAATAACACCTTTACAAATCAGCCAGTGAATAAATTAATTAGCAGTAACCACTGAGTACTATCAGTGTAACAATGTTCATCTATCTGCTTAATTGCATTATCACAGAGGTGGTGTCTATGAACAAGTTAAGTTTTAAGCAACTGAAGTCTGACAAAGAAAATATTAATGTCATTCAGCTGTTCTTCAGACATGAAGAATTTTTAAAGCATTTTTCTTTGGTTGCTTTTCACATTTATGAGAAAAAGACGAACTATACCTAACAAAGTGGACTCAGAAAATATCTACCATCAATGAGTGTATCCTTAAACAATGACTTCAATGTTGTATGTGCTTTACCTTGGAATGATTGTACATCAAAATTGATATTCAAAATAATGGCTATGGCAAACTTTCTAGATAATTAAGTTTCTGCTGAATTAATTGATTAGTTTATGTTCAATAAATCAATAAATACTTTTAAATAAGAATATGTATCCAATATCTTTAAGAATTAACACCCTATATTTGGTTCACATGTTCTTGTGTATGTTTCTGAAGGAATTTAGTTAACCATGATATTCAATTTACCAAAACATAGCAATCCCAACCATTTCTATAAAAAAGTTTGTTATACCATGTTATTGATGAGATAGGAATGTGCCTATGTTGATGTCAGAAGGCTCTAGCTCTAATCCTACCATTTCACAAACTACAGATCAAAGTTTCCATCTAGCAGGTTGTGTTAGCTTACATGGGTGGGATGAGGAGGAAGATGATTGCCATATCAAAGCAAATAAAGAAATCTGATTTTAAGCTTAGAAAGAAACATGAAAATGTAAAAAGATTTGTAAAGACTTGCATATTAAAGTAACGATTATTAAAAATACATATTTCATCAAATATGGAAACAGTTGAACATATCACATCTGTAGGTATTTTTAAATAAACTAAGAAGTCCAACTACATTTCTTACATAGGAAATCTGCTGTGAAGTTACTCTAACTTATTATCTAAGTCTTTTCTCTTTGTATTCCTATGCCAAGCAAAAATGCCTGAGCTGGGAATGTATAGTAACTGCACAGGTATCTGCATTTTCATGTTGATTACAGCCTTATTCACAGTAGCCAAGATATGGAAACAATGTAAGTATCCATCAGCAGATAAATGGATAAAGAAATTGTGGCATATATATGTGTGTATATATATGTGTGTATATACACATGTGTGCATATATGTGTATATATACACATGTGCATATATGTGTATATATACGTGTGCATATATGTGTATATATACGTGTGCATATATGTGTATATATACACGTGTGCATATATACATATGTGTATATATGTGTGTATATATATGTGCGTGTGTGTGTGTATATATATATATATATGAATATTATTCAGCCTTAAAAAAAAGGAGGTACTGGCATTTACGACAACAGATGAATCTAAAGGACACTGTGGCAAGCGAACAAAAACAGACATAGAAAAAGTACTGTACTATTTATTTCACTTAAATGCAAAATCTAAACAACAAAAAAGAGTTACAAAAATACTGTATCATATATTGGAAATTAGCAAAGAGAGTAGATTTTAGGAGCTCTTACCACACACACACACACACGCACTCACCTGTGCACAGTAACTATGGAAGGTGATGGATATGTTGATCTGTTTTGCTGTATTAATCATTTCATTATGTACAGTTGTTCCCCAGTATCCACAAGGGATTGGTTCCAAGACCCACCTGGCAGATATCAAAATCTGCAGATGCTCAAGTCCCTGATATAAAATTTGCATATAACCTACCTACATATTCCTGTATACTTTAAATAATCTCTAGATCACTTATAGTGTCTAATACAATGTAAATGCTATGCAAATACTTTATACTATATTTTAGAAATTTGTATTATTTTTATCGTTATAGTATTATTTGGTTGATTGAATCTGAGAATGTGGAACCCACAGATAAGAAGGACTGTCTGTATGTGTATATTAAAACATTATGTTGTATACCTTAAATATATGCAATAAAATACAATTTTAAAAATGCATATGACCTGTTTACAGATACAAAAAAGTAGAAGCTGAAAAGAACTGCCATTATCATACTTCGCACCTATTAGGATGGCTACTATTCAAAAGAACAAGAAAAAAATAAAGAAAATAACAAGTGTTGGCAGGAGTGTGGAAAGACTGAAATCCTCATGCATTGCTGGTGGAAATGTAAAATGGTGTAGCCATTGTGGAACACAGAATGGTAGTTCCTCAAAAAATTAAACATAGAATTACTACATGATCCAGTAATCCCACTTCTGTGTATACACCTAAAAGAGCTGAAAGCAGGGACTCAAACAGATATTTGTACACCCATATTCATAGAAGCATTACTCATAACTGCCAAAAAGTAGAAACAATTCAAGTGTCTCTCCATGGACTAATAGATAAAATGTGTCATATACATACAATGAAGTATTATTCAGTCTGAAAAAGAAACGAAATTTAGATACATGTTACAACATGAATGAACCATAAGGCACTATGGCAGGTGAAATAAGCCAGACACAAAAGGACAAATATTGTATGATCCCACTTATATGTGTTGCCTAAAACATTCAAATTCATAGAGACAGAATAAAATAGTGGTTACTGGGAATTAGGGGAAGGACAGAATTGGGAATTATTGTTTAATGGGTAGGGAGTTTCAGTCTGGGATAATGAAAAAGAGAGTTGGATAGTGGTGACAGATGCACAGCAATGTGAATATATTTAATGCTACTGAATCGTATATTTAAAAATTATTCAAATCGTAAGTCTTATGTTATACATGTTTTACCATAGTAAAAATATTGTCATTATTTATAGCATTTTAAAAATCAACTGAAAAATTATCATAATTCATAAAATGGAGTAATAAGGTACATTCCAGATATATACAAATTTTAAAAAATCTATATGCCAGTAATAAGAATAGTATGAAAGATTTGTGTTTGAATAAAAAAACATTTACTAAATTCTTTTAAAAGTTATGACAATCTTTTTTATAAATTACTAATGCATGGTTATCTATAAATATAGTTATTATAATTATCATGTGGTCAATTCATTTTAATCTAACAAAACCAATTAGGGCATGTACAAAGAAATTAGTGCTTTATATATACATATATTTGCAAGGCATAAAGCCAAGAAAATACCTGACATTTCAAAACTCAAGTGTAACTCAAAATTATATTTTAGAAACATCATTATCCTAATCCCAAGAGAATGGTTAACAGAGTCCAACAAAATCTTAGCTCTATGTAATAATTGGAGAAGAAGTATTTCAGGGTACAATTATCCTAATAATTTAGAGTGCGGGGCAAAAGAATTGCTGTTTTCTCACCAGCCCTCTTCTCTCAGTCGTTTAAGTTGGCCATAATACGGGTCTCCCTGTCTATTGCCTACAATTTCTGGTGGAAATAGATGACCACTACTGGGCTCACAGACTTGGCCATAAAATATAAAAAAATAAAAATAAATTTTAAAAAGGCGTGTTGGGAGGGCAGGCGCAGTGGCTCACCCCTGTAATCCCAGCACTTTGGGAGGACAAGGCGGGTGAATCACTAGGTCAGGAGTTCAAGACCAGCCTGGCCAAGATGGCAAAACCCCATCTCTACTAAAAATATAAAAATTAGCCGGGCGTGGTGGCAGATGCCTGTAATCCCAGCTACTCTGGAGGCTGAGGCAGAGAATTGCTTGAACCTGGGAGGTGGAAGTTGCAGTGAGCCAAAATTGCGCCACTGCACTCCAGGCTGGGCAACAGAGCGAGACTCAGTATCAACAACAACAACAACAACAAAAGTAAATATTCTGAGTGTTGTCAGTGAAAGAGGAGAAAGAATAAAGTTGTGGCTAGCTGTTCTTAATGTTGATGCAAGGACAAGATTCTCAGCTGAGATAGGCCCCCAGGCATTTTACGTTATGGCATCTTTTCCCCTACAGCTAACAGAACAATACTGTTGTGATTCTGAAGACCTTTCCAAACTGATATATATGCAAATATACAAAAAAAAGTAAAGCAGGGAAACCAGTTACAAACATCTTTTAAAGTATAATTTGAACTATAACCTTCTAAGTTCCACATGTATATAATAGTTTTCCGACAACAAGAGCAATAATAAAAATGACTAACCATCATACAATGTAGTTCTTTTTATACCCCAAGTGCTTCTCTAAATGCTTTATAAGCTCTGGAACCATTTAATCATTACAACGGTCCTGTGACAAGTACTATTATACTGAATTTATAGATGAGGAAACTGATGCTCAGAGTGGGCAAGTCATTTACTCAAATCTTCCTAGCAAGTAAGTGGCAGGACCAAGATTTGCACACAGAAGAATCAACCTCCAACACCCATAATCATAATCACTATAGCACTAATGAATTTCTATGTCTTGGATACTTGTATAGTTCTTTTAAAACTATATTAGAGATAATAAAATATTATCAAATGAAAACAGAAAAAAGCCTACCTTTATTACAGAAATTAAATACATTACAATTTAAATCTGAAATGTATTATGAAGATGAATATAAGATATATTAGGAGAACTTATATAAGAGAGGCCTTACCTATTTTAGACCGTAGAAAGTGAACTCTGATCCCTAAAACCTACAGTACAACACAAGCTAGTACTCAAGGAAAGCTGTGGATTAACTACATTAAGTTCTAAAAGTATATATTTTTCATTTTGGATGGAATTCTTTTCAAGAACATATTCACATTTCCATCTTCCTAAAATGTGTTGTCTGCACATGCTTTCATGCTGAAGATAAAGTTTTATAATTATGAACGTTGATTATCAGGATGTGGTCCATCAGTGCTGTCAGGGCATACTGGGGAATAAGAAGCTGTTTCTTCTTGCACTGAATGGCCCCATACTGCAGTGCTTGTCTGAGTCATGTGTCTGTCCTCTCATTCTCTCCTTCTTTTCCTTGCAACTATTACCTCCCACTAACGTGTAGTACCCATCTTTAGCAGCCCCTCTGCCCCAATTCTATTTCACTGTTTCTAATTTGGAAGCAGTATGGAAACCAGATAATCAAGCATACTAAAAGTAGGTATAAGATAAAAATAGATATAGTGTAAACGAGCTGAAACTTTTCAACATCTATTTTTACTGATTGGAGAATTATTTATCTATTTATTTCCGCTTACAGCTCTAAAGTGTATTATAGATATGAGAGTTGTTGATCTATTTTGCAATACAATTTAAAATAATATAATCCCAGAAAGATTCTACAGAATAATTTAGTATCCTGATTATATGTTGAATATAGCCATAATTTTCCTAAATAGAATTGTAATATTAGTAAATCTACATTTCAGCCCATTTATCAATACAAAGTCCAATTCGAGTGGTCTACCAAATCTAATCAACTAAACCAAACCTCACATTATGTATATTTGTCATATAAGTGCACACATATTCAAATTGTGTACATAATTTTGCCAAACTTGAAAATCTTGCAAATGTGCTTTGTTGTACTTCCTTATTTAAATGTTTGGTTTTAGCTTCTTTTGCATATCATTGCCTAAAAATAAATAGGTATTATATTTTATTTTTCAAGAGAGAGCAAATGAATAGAGTTAGCTTTATAAGGGTTTAAGTCAGGGACACCAGCTGCAAATATTTTGTGCTTACCAATGTGTCTTCTTTCCTAAATTCCACTTGTGCCAACAGTGAGTAAAATGTTCTAGGATTTCCTCGCTTCTTCTCTCTCTCTCTCTCTCTCTCTCTCTCTCTCTCTTTCTCCCCAAACACCCCACCCCCACTCCAACTTCCAGATAAATGCCAGTCATTTGGCCAGGGCTAACTCACAGAAGGTGCAGCAGGCACAGATGGCACTAATGCATAAATGTAATCTAGTAAAAGAATGCCAGCGCCAACCCCGAAAAGGTTCCAGATAACGCAGTGCACTTACAGGAAGTCTGTGATTGGCAAGGTTAAAGCTGCAACTGTGAGAGCTCACTGTCTGTTCCCAGATCAACAATAGAAATTCTCAAGCAAATGAGCATATTTAATTTATTTGCCACAAATGCATTAATTTAGATGGTATTCAAATAAATGATATATCCTTAGAAATAATACTAAATGTGGATAATTTAATTTGTGCAACTGTCAGAACACACTCAAGTATTCATGTATATCTGAATAGCTACTGACTCTGCCCAACCATTCTTTATTTCCTTATTTTTTTCTCTATAGCCCTTGCTACCTGATATCATTATTTGCCCATTAATGTACCAAAATATGCCGCCTACAGATATTCTCATTCATATCACTCTTCAAATTATTTCAAATTTCATAGGTATTCTGATTTTTTTTATCTGCCTCTTGAGCTAGAGGTAAACCCGACAAAAAGAGAGACTTGATATATCTTGTTCACTGATCTCTCACAGTGCCTGGTAATACATTGTCAATTAAATGAATATTAAAGAAAATAAACGGATGAATAAAGGCACTCATACATAATATATGCTTACATGTTAAATAACACTAATATACATTTGAATTTATTGTATACTGTTGATATGTTATCCTGAAGATTATATTTTCTTTCTTTTTTTTTTGACCAAGTCATATTACCATACTCTAATTGGAATGCCCACCACGAACCAAGGCCTTAAGCATGCATGTTTTGTTAAATTTTAAATACAAGCAAAATATTAATAACATTAATTTTGGTTCATAATCTTGCCTGTATCTATCCCATGGTAAAGTTTGTTTCTTGAAGAGTGGCAGCAAGAAAAGAGTTAAAAATTTAGCATGTGATGGCCAGGAGTGGTGGCTCATGCCTGTAATCTCAGCACTTTGGGAGGCGAGGCGGGTGGATTGCCTGAGGTCAGGAGTTCCAGACCAGCCTCGTCAACATGGTGAAACCCCGTCTCTACTAAAAATACAAAAATTAGATGGGCATGATGGCGGGCGCCTGTAACCCCAGCTACTCGGAAGGCTGAGGCAGGAGAATCGCTTGAACCTGGGAAGTAGAGGTTGCAGTGAACTGAGATCATGCCATTGCATTCCAGCCTGGGCAACAAGAGCAAAACTCCATCTCAAAAAAAAAAAAAAAAAAAAAAAAAAATTAGCATGTGATTCAGTCTACAGAGAACTAGATTAGTGAAGGAGGCATTGCAGCAGGAGGGTAGCAACTACATTGCAGAAAGGATTCCCTTGCATAATTATTTAAGTGGCTCATCACTCCTTAGTGGCATAAAGGAGTGATACATTTTTCTTGGAAAAAGATATTCCTTCCAAATTCTCCATCATAAGCCTATTTATTTTCTCCTTAACAATACCCCCACTTAAAATAAAAGTAATCCTTGCTGCATTAGTTATAATGGTGCCTTCCCACGGTGAAAAACTATTGAATATCCTAACACAGAGGACTGTTAAGTGGACTATAGTAAATCTGCTTGGTAAGATGCCAGGTGACTGCTATCATGAAAACTACATAATATAAAAACCAATAATGGCATAATTTAAAAGTAGGATAGAAATCAGTATTTATATTGTATGGATTCAACTAAGTTTTAGAAAACAGGTTCTGTTCAAAAAACAGGTTCACAAAAAAGATCAGGTGCCAATTATTTCTTCTCTGTCCTTCAGAAACTTTTGCAATTTGTCTTTAATATATAGGTATTTGTTTTGTATTTTAAAAAGAAAACAATACCACCTTAGTTATTTGTATGCTTTACCCCATCTCATTCCACAGAAAAAATCTGAAGTTACCTTTTATCCACTGTAATCTCACCACTGAATCATATTGTTGGAAGAAAGATATTGGTTTGGTTTTTGTTTTGTTTTGTTTTATTTTATTATTTTTTAAATTATACTTTAAGTTTCAGGGTACATGTGCACAACGTGCAGGTTTGTTACATATGTATACATGTGCCATGTTGGTGTGCTGCACCCATTAACTCTTCATTTAACATTAGGTATATCTCCTAATGCTATCCCTCCACCCTCCCCCCACCCCACAACAGGCCCTGGTGTGTTTGTTTTTTTTTTTTTTTTTGAGACAGAGTCTCACTCTGTCACCCAGGCTGGGGTGCAGTGGCACGATCTCGGCTCACTGCAAGCTCCGCCTCCTGGGTTCACGCCATTCTCCCGCCTCAGCCTTCGGAATAGCTGGGACTACAGGCGCCCAACACCACGCCCGGCTAATTTTGTTTTTGTATTTTTAGTAGAGATGGGGTTTCGCCGTGTTAGGGAAGATGGTCTCGATCTCCTGACCTCGTGATCCGCCCGCCTCGGCCTCCCAAAGTGCTGGGATTGCAGGCATGAGCCATCGCGCCTGGCCAATTGTTTCTATTGTTAGAAACTATGAATAACCATTCATAATTCTGAGTTTTCTTCTCACATACAAGCTGTAGCATATAAAAATGTGTATATAAAAAGCAATAAAATAGAGTTTCTGTGACAAGAGTATCAGTAAATGACCATCAATGCTTTTGAATAGGATGACAGGAATTGTCAAGAATGTAGGTTGTCTTTTAAAACCAAATCTGGCCGTGTGCAGTGGCTTATGCCTATATAATCCCAGCACTTTGTGGGGGCAATGTGGGCAAATCACTTGAGGCCAGGAGTTCAAGACCAGCCTGGCCAACATGGCAAAACCCTGAGTACTAAAAATACAAAAATTAGCCGGGCATGGTTGGATATGACTGTAATCCCAGCTACTTGGGAGGCTGAGGCATGGGAATCGTTTGAACCTGGGAGGCAGAGGTTGCAATGAGCCAAGATCATGCCACTATACTCCAGCCTGGGTGACTGAGCAAGACCCTGTCTAAAACAACAACAACAACAAAAAAAAAAAAACACCAAACCTATCATTTAAGACTCTTTTGACTCTTTCACCTTATTTTCATCATTTATAAAATATGGAAAGTAATAGCAGCTTACCAGAGGGTTACCAGGAGAATTATGTGAATGTGCATGAAGCTTAATGCCTGATATATGATAAACACTAAGGAAACGCCATGCATTGCTACTATTTCTGTCTAAGAGATCTGAACTGGAAAATAGTTTAATACATAGACTTGTTTTAAATAAAACTTTAAAATAGATGTTAGGACAAAAAACTCCTCCAAGTAGTCAAGTTTCAAAAAAAAAAAAAAAACTGTCTACTCAGCAGTTCTTTCATGAAGGATACACACTAGTCATTGGAAAGAGACCTTGTCTGCTTTCAGGAACTGACTTTGGGCCTTCTGTTAAGAAAACTGGGAGGGATAGCATTAGGAGATATACCTAATGTTAAATGACAAGTTGATGGGTGCAGCACACCAACATGGCACATGTATACATATGTAACTAACCTGCACGTTGTGCCCATGTACCCTAAAACTTAAAGTATAAAAAAAAAAAACAACTGAATAATGCTGGCCTTTGCTAAGAAATTTGATAGGTTTGTAACACGCCCTTAAAATTAAAGTATATGACCTCTACAAAGGTGGAGAGTTTAAAAATTACATGTCATCGCCCCCCAACTTTTTTTTTTTAAAGCACTACCATTGACCAATTAGAAAAAGCACCCTTTCCTCCAGGCTGGATTTCAGCAGTCCCCCCACCCCCACCCTCTCCATTACTCCCTCATTTTCCACCTTTATGCAGGTTATAATTTGCTCAACTATAAACAGCATTCTTGAAATTATTTAAAGCCTGTGGGGGTATATCATGGATCACAATACGAAAATAAATTAGTGACAAAGAGTTGGGGCCAGACTGTCTAGAGAAACATACTGAACATCAAAAGAGGAGCTCAAAGGCCAGCTGAACTGGAAAAAAAAAAGGGAGCCATAAAACTGGAGAAAATGCCAGAAGGAGCTTTAACTAGGGTGAAGCCTGAGTCAAAACATTAAGAAGAAGAAGCAAAGTGCAAGATAGTACACTGACATTTATTAATATAATTGCCTGGCTAAGGCATGTGGGATAGTGAGAAGAAAGTCTTATTTATTTTGGATACAGCTATTGCAATGTGAAGAAATTTTAAAACACTTTTATACTTGAATCAAAGGACTTGGAAATCTAAGATGAATTAGCAATGGTTAGCTCTGCCCATTTGTGTGTACGTTGTTGGCTACTTGTGTTTGGAAGGAACACTGATATTTCACATTCATTGCAATAAAATATAGTAAATTTCTATTGTGGTCCAGCTGTTGCATAGCTTTGTTAAAGAGTGACACTTAGGCTAATGTACTCTAAGGAAATGACTCCGCTCCCAGTGGAATCTCTCTTCTGAAACAATAAATGCCTGTTCCAACAAAAGAGCACCTTAAACTATGATTCCATTCCAAAGTTGTAAAAAAATGGAATTAATTAGGATTTAGCAAGTGTACAACCTCTAGCCAGGAGTCATATATTCTAATTTTGAGATATTATTCATAGTTCTCAATGCAGAGAGTTACTACACATTATTTTTACTATCAGTACAATACCACTTTTTAAAAGGGTTCAGATGTTTTAATCACTATTACACAAGTACTACAAATGATATAATTAGTTGCATTCTTATTTGCAGAATATTTAATTGATCTCTATTCAGATAAATTTTTAAATGACAAAATGCTATTTAACTGTCTTATTTTCAGACCTCCTGTCATCAGAGCTTAGCTACTCTCTTTCAAAACCATTACTATTCTCCTTCACAACCTAGCACTAAAACTGGTTGCACTGCATTAGAACTCTGCTTAGGTACTTCCTATGCAAGTTTTCTCCTTCATCTCACAACCAAAACCTAAATGAACAATCAAAACATTCTCACATTTTTCTAATTCTCCAAAAGTTTCCTTTTCTTTCAAGGTAATTTATGTCCTCATAAAAGCTTAGGTATAATTCCTGATGGGAGAAATTAGTGAAATATTTCAACAGTATTCAAGTTGGTCTCAGGGACTGGGAAATAATGCAAAAGAAATAAAAAAAATCCTTTATTAAACGTAAAAGGGAAGAAGAAAAGACTAACACATGAAATAATTAGAAAACAATTAATTTAAAAATTACTGCACAATATTTAAACTAATTCACTTTAAGTTCTGATTATTAATTGCACTATGGGTTATAATCACCTTTTTTGTGCTTATAATCATTCCCACCTAGTACAATGGTACTACACTAGTAGTACCACACTAAAGGTACTACACTCTACCACTGTACTAACCAATGGTAAAAACTACACTTATATTTTCTATTTTTTTCTATCACTTGTATAATGCTAGGCAGAAAGTCAGCAAGCAATGGATAATTGATTATGTATTCATTCAATCATTTTAAAGCATTTTTCATTTTAATCTTTGTTGCAAAGAAGAAAAATGTATTAATAATTTTTACTTTTAATAAATACATTAGCATTAACTTTATACAGTTTTAAAACACTCATAAACTTAATTAAGCTTTTAATTCAGTTATAAATAGGACTCATTCACTGTATTCTCAACAGTAGCATTAAAAAAACCAGGTGCCTATTTCATATTCTTAATGAAGCAATTGCTAGCAATAGGAAAACCTCAAAAGATTCACATTTGGCTCAACTAAGTTCCTTGAAAATTAATTACATATAATCATTTAAAACAGCACAAAATTGAGCAGAAGAAAAAAAATTTTTGGAAGAATGTTTGTAATATCCATAAATGTTTAGGCTAGTTTGGCTGGTTTCTGATTAACTGCATTTGGACATATCTTCATTGAAAGTTTCACTGTAACATACTCACAGAAAGCTTTTTATCTGCAAGTGACTTTTTGTGCCACTTGCTTGGGCCACTTTTTCCCAACTCTAATTTGCAATTTGTATCTACCCTGAGAGAGGTACTGTCTATCAGGGTATATAGTACCATACTCAAACAGATTTGTTCCGTTATCTAAACTAGAAATAAATAAATCATAAAATGTTATGTGTCACTAACAAGGTAACAACTTGAATGCTTATGTATATATTGAGCATCAATTATGTACCCAGCACTGTGATAGTGTTTTTAAAACCCCCTAAGAGAGGAGCCAAGATGGCCGAATAGGAACAGCTCCGGTCTACAGCTCCCAGCGTGAGCGACGCAGAAGACGGTGATTTCTGCATTTCCATCTGAGGTACCGGGTTCATCTCACTAGGGAGTGCCAGACAGTGGGCGCAGGCCAGTGTGTGTGCGCACCGTGCACGAGCCGAAGCAGGGCGAGGCATTGCCTCACCTGGGAAGCGCAAGGGGTCAGGGAGTTCCCTTTCCGAGTCAAAGAAAGGGGTGACGGTCGCACCTGGAAAATCGGGTCACTCCCACCCGAATATTGCGCTTTTCAGACCGGCTTAAGAAACGGCGCACCACGAGACTATATCCCACACCTGGCTCGGAGGGTCCTACGCCCACGGAATCTCGCTGATTGCTAGCACAGCAGTCTGAGATCAAACTGCAAGGCGGCAACGAGGCTGGGGGAGGGGCGCCCGCCATTGCCCAGGCTTGCTTAGGTAAACAAAGCAGCCGGGAAGCTCGAACTGGGTGGAGCCCACCACAGCTCAAGGAGGCCTGCCTGCCTCTGTAGGCTCCACCTCTGGGGGCAGGGCACAGACAAACAAAAAGACAGCAGTAACCTCTGCAGACTTAAGTGTCCCTGTCTGACAGCTTTGAAGAGAGCAGTGGTTCTCCCAGCACGCAGCTGGAGATCTGAGAACGGGCAGACAGACTGCCTCCTCAAGTGGGTCCCTGACTCCTGACCCCCGAGCAGCCTAACTGGGAGGCACCCCCCAGCAGGGGCACACTGACACCTCACACGGCAGGGTATTCCAACAGACCTGCAGCTGAGGGTCCTGTCTGTTAGAAGGAAAACTAACAACCAGAAAGGACATCTACACCGAAAACCCATCTGTACATCACCATCATCAAAGACCAAAAGTAGATAAAACCACAAAGATGGGGAAAAAACAGAACAGAAAAACTGGAAACTCTAAAACGCAGAGCGCCTCTCCTCCTCCAAAGGAACGCAGTTCCTCACCAGCAACAGAACAAAGCTGGATGGAGAATGATTTTGACGAGCTGAGAGAAGAAGGCTTCAGACGATCAAATTACTCTGAGCTACGGGAGGACATTCAAACCAAAGGCAAAGAAGTTGAAAACTTTGAAAAAAATTTAGAAGAATGTATAACTAGAATAACCAATACAGAGAAGTGCTTAAAGGAGCTGATGGAGCTGAAAACCAAGGCTCGAGAACTACGTGAAGAATGCAGAAGCCTCAGGAGCCGATGCGATCAACTGGAAGAAAGGGTATCAGCGATGGAAGATGAAATGAATGAAATGAAGCGAGAAGGGAAGTTTAGAGAAAAAAGAATAAAAAGAAATGAGCAAAGCCTCCAAGAAATATGGGACTATGTGAAAAGACCAAATCTACGTCTGATTGGTGTACCTGAAAGTGATGTGGAGAATGGAACCAAGTTGGAAAACACTCTGCAGGATATTATCCAGGAGAACTTCCCCAATCTAGCAAGGCAGGCCAACGTTCAGATTCAGGAAATACAGAGAACGCCACAAAGATACTCCTCGAGAAGAGCAACTCCAAGACACATAATTGTCAGATTCACCAAAGTTGAAATGAAGGAAAAAATGTTAAGGGCAGCCAGAGAGAAAGGTCGGGTTACCCTCAAAGGAAAGCCCATCAGACTAACAGCGGATCTCTTGGCAGAAACCCTACAAGCCAGAAGAGAGTGGGGGCCAATATACAACATTCTTAAAGAAAAGAATTTTCAACCCAGAATTTCATATCCAGCCAAACTAAGCTTCATAAGTGAAGGAGAAATAAAATACTTTATAGACAAGCAAATGTTGAGAGATTTTGTCACCACCAGGCCTGCCCTAAAAGAGCTCCTGAAGGAAGCACTAAACATGGAAAGGAACAACCGGTACCAGCCGCTGCAAAATCATGCCAAAATGTAAAGACCATCGAGACTAGGAAGAAACTGCATCAACTAATGAGCAAAATCACCAGCTAACATCATAATGACAGGATCAAATTCACACATAACAATATTAACTTTAAATATAAATGGACTAAATTCTGCAATTAAAAGACACAGACTGGCAAGTTGGATAAAGAGTCAAGACCCATCAGTGTGCTGTATTCAGGAAACCCATCTCACGTGCAGAGACACACATAGGCTCAAAATAAAAGGATGGAGGAAGATCTACCAAGCCAATGGAAAACAAAAAAAGGCAGGGGTTGCAATCCTAGTCTCTGATAAAACAGACTTTAAACCAACAAAGATCAAAAGAGACAAAGAAGGCCATTACATAATGGTAAAGGGATCAATTCAACAAGAGGAGCTAACTATCCTAAATATTTATGCACCCAATACAGGAGCACCCAGATTCATAAAGCAAGTCCTGAGTGACCTACAAAGAGACTTAGACTCCCACACATTAATAATGGGAGACTTTAACACCCCACTGTCAACATTAGACAGATCAACGAGACAGAAAGTCAACAAGGATACCCAGGAATTGAACTCAGCTCTGCACCAAGCAGACCTAATAGACATCTACAGAACTCTCCACCCCAAATCAACAGAATATACATTTTTTTCAGCACCACACCACACCTATTCCAAAATTGACCACATAGTTGGAAGTAAAGCTCTCCTCAGCAAATGTAAAAGAACAGAAATTATAACAAACTATCTCTCAGACCACAGTGCAATCAAACTAGAACTCAGGATTAAGAATCTCACTCAAAGCCGCTCAACTACATGGAAACTGAACAACCTGCTCCTGAATGACTACTGGGTACATAACGAAATGAAGGCAGAAATAAAGATGTTCTTTGAAACCAACGAGAACAAAGACACCACATACCAGAATCTCTGGGACGCATTCAAAGCAGTGTGTAGAGGGAAATTTATAGCACTAAATGCCTACAAGAGAAAGCAGGAAAGATCCAAAATTGACACCCTAACATCACAATTAAAAGAACTAGAAAAGCAAGAGCAAACACATTCAAAAGCTAGCAGAAGGCAAGAAATAACTAAAATCAGAGCAGAACTGAAGGAAATAGAGACACAAAAAACCCTTCAAAAAATCAATGAATCCAGGAGCTGGTTTTTTGAAAGGATCAACAAAATTGATAGACCGCTAGCAAGACTAATAAAGAAAAAAAGAGAGAAGAATCAAATAGACACAATAAAAAATGATAAAGGGGATATCACCACCGATCCCACAGAAATACAAACTACCATCAGAGAATACTACAAACACCTCTACGCAAATAAACTAGAAAATCTAGAAGAAATGGATACATTCCTCGACACATACACTCTCCCAAGACTAAACCAGGAAGAAGTTGAATCTCTGAATAGACCAATAACAGGCTCTGAAATTGTGGCAATAATCAATAGTTTACCAACCAAAAAGAGTCCAGGACCAGATGGATTCACAGCCGAATTCTACCAGAGGTACATGGAGGAACTGGTACCATTCCTTCTGAAACTATTCCAATCAATAGAAAAAGAGGGAATCCTCCCTAACTCATTTTATGAGGCCAGCATCATTCTGATACCAAAGCCGGGCAGAGACACAACCAAAAAAGAGAATTTTAGACCAATATCCTTGATGAACATTGATGCAAAAATCCTCAATAAAATACTGGCAAACCGAATCCAGCAGCACATCAAAAAGCTTATCCACCATGATCAAGTGGGCTTCATCCCTGGGATGCAAGGCTGGTTCAATATACGCAAATCAATAAATGTAATCCAGCATATAAACAGAGACAAAGACAAAAACCACATGATTATCTCAATAGATGCAGAAAAAGCCTTTGACAAAATTCAACAACCCTTCATGCTAAAAACTCTCAATAAATTAGGTATTGATGGGACGTATTTCAAAATAATAAGAGCTATCTATGACAAACCCACAGCCAATATCATACTGAATGGGCAAAAACTGGAAGCATTCCCTTTGAAAACCGGCACAAGACAGGGATGCCCTCTCTCACCGCTCCTATTCAACATAGTGTTGGAAGTTCTGGCCAGGGCAATCAGGCAGGAGAAGGAAATAAAGGGTATTCAATTAGGAAAAGAGGAAGTCAAATTGTCCCTGTTTGCAGACGACATGATTGTATATCTAGAAAACCCCATCATCTCAGCCCAAAATCTCCTTAAGCTGATAAGCAACTTCAGCAAAGTCTCAGGATACAAAATCAATGTACAAAAATCACAAGCATTCTTATACACCAACAACAGACAAACAGAGAGCCAAATCATGGGTGAACTCCCATTCACAATTGCTTCAAAGAGAATAAAATACCTAGGAATCCAACTTACAAGGGATGTGAAGGACCTCTTCAAGGAGAACTACAAACCACTGCTCAAGGAAATAAAAGAGGAGACAAACAAATGGAAGAACATTCCATGCTCATGGGTAGGAAGAATCAATATCGTGAAAATGGCCATACTGCCCAAGGTAATTTACAGATTCAATGCCATCCCCATCAAGCTACCAATGACTTTCTTCACAGAATTGGAAAAAACTACTTTAAAGTTCATATGGAACCAAAAAAGAGCCCGCATTGCCAAGTCAATCCTAAGCCAAAAGAACAAAGCTGGAGGCATCACACTACCTGACTTCAAACTATACTACAAGGCTACAGTAACCAAAACAGCATGGTACTGGTACCAAAACAGAGATATAGATCAATGGAACAGAACAGAGCCCTCAGAAATAATGCCGCATATCTACAACTATCTGATCTTTGACAAACCTGAGAAAAACAAGCAATGGGGAAAGGATTCCCTATTTAATAAATGGTGCTGGGAAAACTGGCTAGCCATATGTAGAAAGCTGAAACTGGATCCCTTCCTTACACCTTATACAAAAATCAATTCAAGATGGATTAAAGATTTAAACGTTAAACCTAAAACCATAAAAACCCTAGAAGAAAACCTAGGCATTACCATTCAGGACATAGGCGTGGGCAAGGACTTCATGTCCAAAACACCAAAAGCAATGGCAACAAAAGACAAAATTGACAAATGGGATCTAATTAAACTAAAGAGCTTCTGCACAGCAAAAGAAACTACCATCAGAGTGAACAGGCAACCTACAACATGGGAGAAAATTTTCGCAACCTACTCATCTGACAAAGGGCTAATATCCAGAATCTACAATGAACTCAAACAAATTTACAAGAAAAAAACAAACAACCCCATCAAAAAGTGGGCGAAGGACATGAACAGACACTTCTCAAAAGAAGACATTTATGCAGCCAAAAAACACATGAAGAAATGCTCATCATCACTGGCCATCAGAGAAATGCAAATCAAAACCACTATGAGATATCATCTCACACCAGTTAGAATGGCAATCATTAAAAAGTCAGGAAACAACAGGTGCTGGAGAGGATGCGGAGAAATAGGAACACTTTTACACTGTTGGTGGGACTGTAAACTAGTTCAACCATTGTGGAAGTCAGTGTGGCGATTCCTCAGGGATCTAGAACTAGAAATACCATTTGACCCAGCCATCCCATTACTGGGTATATACCCAAATGAGTATAAATCATGCTGCTATAAAGACACATGCACACGTATGTTTATTGCGGCACTATTCACAATAGCAAAGACTTGGAACCAACCCAAATGTCCAACAATGATAGACTGGATTAAGAAAATGTGGCACATATACACCATGGAATACTATGCAGCCATAAAAAATGATGAGTTCATATCCTTTGTAGGGACATGGATGAAATTGGAAACCATCATTCTCAGTAAACTATCGCAAGAACAAAAAACCAAACACCGCATATTCTCACTCATAGGTGGGAATTGAACAATGAGATCACATGGACACAGGAAGGGGAATATCACACTCTGGGGACTGTGGTGGGGTCGGGGGAGGGGGGAGGGATAGCATTGGGAGATATACCTAATGCTAGATGACACATTAGTGGGTGCAGCGCACCAGCATGGCACATGTATACATATGTAACTAACCTGCACAATGTGCACATGTACCCTAAAACTTAGAGTATAATAAAAAAAAAAATAAATAAAAAATAAAACCCCCTAAGAATACTAAATAATTGTTTTTAAGCAAAAACAAGAAATATTTTGATGTCTGGTTACTGCTTTATCTAGTTTTTAATCATAAATGACTGCCCTATCCATTCCTCATTTCTAGGAACTGGATATTTCAACACTTTGCAAAAGTTATCATGAGTTTGATTATAAACATAATTATTGACCATTTAGATGAAGATGTTGAAAAGGAAAGGACACTGAACAAAATGGCAAGTTCTCTTGCTAAGTCTGAAGGCAGAGTGTCATTCATTCCTGAGTTTGAATCAAGCTAATTAAAACCTTCCAGAGGCTTTGCAAAGCCTAATATCATTGGTAGTGCTGCTCATACAAATTACAAAATATTTTACTCTAGAGGATATCTTTGTGAAGCAGAGAACAGTGACAGAAAGGCAGAAGAGGCAAGAGCTCTAGAATTCAAGTCTATTAAATGTACTCTAAATGCCTCTGCATTTTCATGCCAAGCTCTCTATAACTAATTCAGCCCCTACAGAAAAATTTAAATAATGCTGAAAAAGTAACACATTACATTAAGTATTGCTACTTTGTTATCCATTGTGACTAAAATATTGTATTATATATAGGAATAATTATTACTGTTATACTTATTAAAAACCATTAAATTACAAGACCATTTTAAACTGCTGTAGTAGGAGAAAAATGTTCAGATTTTTACAATATCATATTCTGGCACCACACCAAAAACATGATGTACTGCACTGCTTGGGGGAAAAATGTGAACATGAGTTCTTATACTTGTGTATAGTTCTAATTTGTGTGACAAATAAAAGGTATTTTTTTCAGCATTCACAATAAAAAAAAATTGCCTATACTATGCTTGTCACAATATAAAAGTAAGCCATTGGTCTAAGCTGTAGCCCATATGGTTGGTACACATATATTTGTGAGTTTGGTACAACATGCTTTGTGCTGGCAATTTTAATTTCAATAGCCCATTAATCTTTTAAATACATTAAGCATGTCCACCACTGCTGGCAGACTCTTCTGCCCTTTTGAATCTCCTTTCTACCCCAATGTTTTCTCCCTAGAGTTTGAGCTTTCAGCATACAAAGTGACGCCTGCGAACAGGAAGATAAAGAAATTTAATTAAAATTACAGAGTTGTTTTGTAATTGCCTAACAACACTTCAATTTTCTACTCTAAGTTTTCTAAAATCAAGCATAAATGCATTTGAAGCAGAAAAATTCATGTTTTTAAAAATATTACCCGAATTATTTAACTCATGATCTGGGGTTGATTTCAAACAGCTTTACTGGAGATAGATTCTTCTATACCAGAGTTATTTAACTAATGAGTATGATGTGCCTTTTCCTTTCTGCCACATTTCTTATATAAAAAATTGTTCACTGAAGGCAATGGTGAGAAAGCAAATATGCATCAATTTCTTGCCCAATAGAAGAACACTAAGTAGGTTAAGCAATATGTACAAAAATCTAGTATGGAAATCTCTTTTTTAGGAACATGCCCTAAGTTTTGTTATTTAGCAATAGCTAACCTAACCCTGGAATAATCTTATCCTTTAAAATTCCCATTTCAATTTCAGCTTTCAGATTTTCATTGCAACCATCATTCATCTTACATCATTTTATTAGAAGAAATTCACTGATTGTTTATGTATTGTTATCAATGGCTAAAATAGTTCTTATGCATTTACTCTATGCCAGGCAATCTTTTAAGTGTTTCACAGGTATTAACGTATCTAAATCTCACAAAAAATAAAGCAGGGAGTTTATATAACATAAAATAAAGCTGAAAGAAATTTTATATTTTCTGACTTGAGAGCTCCAATACAAGTTGAAACCAAAATACATAGCTTTTGTTAGATACCTTTGTATCACAGCCATTCAGAATTCTTTTATAGTATTCATTTGACATCTTTCTCTAGAAGATTTAGTCATCCCACCTCTGATATGATGAGAATGGATGAAGGAGCCCCACAGAGTCAGAAAGGTCTAAATTAAACCAACTAGAATCTAAATCAAATGTATTTTAGCCATCACAATATGCCCTACTTTAATATATTTGTTCCTACAAATAAATATATGCCCCAGATATGCTCACTGAATAATGGTCCTAAATTTTTTTTTAAAAAAGCTGAAAGCAGAGAAAGTAAGTTTTTTCAAAGTAGAAGATGTAAAATGGTAAAATGTAAGATGAAGGTGACAGAGAGAAATAGAGATACAAATTTTTGAATTATAATTGTAAGCATGGTAAAACTAATAATAACAAATATTTATTAAAAACCTTCCAAGTTTTAGTCACTGAACTTTATGCTTTATTATCTCATTTAATCTTCAAACAACCACATGAGGTAAGTGTTGTTATATAACGATCCCCATTTAAAATATTTAAAAGAAGAAAAGGAAGTTTAGAAAGATTGAAAATTTGCTTCAAGGCACAAGGTTAGTAAAAAGTACAACCAGGAATTGGAATCTAGGTATGCCAAGATAGTAACATGGGTTACTAAGTTAGGTCGTGTGCCTCTGCAAACAAACTCTAAGACAAAGATTTGTGTGTGAGAAGTTTAATGAGGTAAGTTTTCAGAAACAACCCATTTCTGTGAAATGCAGTAGGATTTGGCAAAAGGAGAATTTGGACTGTGTCACATTGGTAACAGAGGTCTCAGCCAATCCCGGGTAAGCTCTGGAGCTGGAATGGCCTTTCAAGCTATTCTTAATTAGGGCAGGAGGCCAACCATTGCAATCTCACATCAATCAATCATTGAATATGGGCAGCCCCAGGCAGGGGCTGTAATCTTGGGTGGAGGGGAATTTCCTGAAGAGGGGCTCAACTGCAAATTGTCAGTAGCCAACTCTTCTGGCATGAGGGAATGAGTGTCTCCATCCTGCAGGGGTATCTGGTAGCACATCATAGTACCCACTACAGTTATATTGTATCAATTCGAGAAAATCAAAACACTTTTAATAAAATACATTTATAAGAAAAACACGAATAGGTGATGAACCAACAAATTCTCCCTGTTTTTGTTTTTAATTGGAGACATTTATTTGTTTAGAATGGTTGCTGTTACCTAAAGTTATAGAAAAATATATACCATACAGTTTATATCCTATGAGCTAAGGGTACTAATCCTAAAACCTTAGGCTCTAGATAACATACAAAACAGAAGGGAAACCATGCTTTATCTTTTCTTACTGAAGATTTAAATGCCCATGTAGGTAATAATCCAAATTGCTGTGAATCTCTTCTGTGTTTAAGCTACCTGCTTCTTTTGGCCAGAAGCAAATAGGAACCCAGCTGTATTAAATGAATCAAAGTCCTTACTTCTCAGTCAGACGAAGCTGTTTTAAGGGCATTAAGATAAGCTACTCGCAGTTCTTCAGTTCTTCCCATTAGAATAGTTTTCCTTCAAATTTAAGGCTAAATGAACCATTTATCAGTTTTTAAGCTAGTTCATGTAAACAGGAAATAAAGTTTTCATAAGCAAAATATGAAATTGAAAGAAAAAAGTAATTATTCTGCTTTGTATTGCTACCCCCTCTTATAACTGAATCTGTTCTTGCATGTTAGTTCAGTGAGGTAAATCTGATTATTTGGGTAGCAAGGTCCTATTCACAACAAGGATTGGTTTGGCATGACCATCATTCATATTTTAAGTGCTACAAAGATGAAACAGCAAGACAAACTCATAGTGTTAAAAAAAAAGTTTTTTATTTTGCCCCAGCAGAACATTTTCTGACCTATAGCCTCCAATCACCCTTTACTGTGGGTGATGTCAAAAACACTTACTGCACAAGCAGAGACCTGTGTTTCCTTTGCCACAGACAATAAATCTTTAGTGTCTTCTCCTGATACGCATCACTCCACTTGCTCTCAAGAGGCACTATACATCTCTCTTGCCTTTCCCCTCACTAACAAGGTCACTTTTGAGTGATAACACAACTTATTGCAAAAATGTATAGACATGCACAATAATTAGTATCCACTTTTAAGTACCTTGTCAGTAAATATTATAAAACTCTGGAAAAGACTTCTTCCCAAACATAATGTATTCATAAATTTAATTTCACAAATATAGATTTGAATAAGCCCATGTAAAAACAGATTTTGGCCCTACCTTTTCATTACTGTTATAAAATTATACTTTATCCAGAAGGTATGTATTTGAGAAATTAATTTTAGCTTCATAGAAATCTCCTTTTCGAGTAATACAATAAATTGCTAGTTGACTGTACTCATTTCTAGCTTGCAAAACCAAAACTTTTTCTTAATTAATGATAGAAATAGTGGAAAAAATATGTAAGATGGAATTATTTTTTAAACTATTAGCGTTTCTTAACCAGGATTCCATGAGTACATTAGGACTGAGTGCTCAAAGGCATCTGTTATATATTAAAAACTAACTTCTCATCAAAGCCTTATGCTAGTTATGTGGCATCCTTAGGAGAATTGGGAAAATACCCCCTCAAATTATCTTCTCTGTTTTGTGGTTCAGATAAGAGGACTTGGTTGAAAAATGCTGTTAAAAAGAGACTCAGGTTATATAACTCAATCAAAACCAATAAGCACGTAAATATAAAAGCTGACATTTGAATCTGAACTTTTGAAAATAAAGCTGAAGTCACATAAAAAATACAACACGTGTTACTCCAAATTTCAGGCATGACTTATTTTGTTTTCTTAAAGTGTCAAATTAAGATACACAGAAATTCAGAAGCACATTTTAGATTAACTCATCTAAGTAAAATAAACCATAACAGATGCCTATGAATAGGGTTTTAAGCAAAACAAAGATTATACAAATCTAAAAATAAGTCTCAACCTTCAATCTCTGAGACAAAGAATTTCTAAACCCATTCAATAAATATACACCATTATGATGACTTAAATTCGTGATTAAAACCGTGATGGAGGTTTCTTCCATTTCCACTTTAGTAACTTAGCGAATTCCCTGCCTGTCTGTCTCCTGTCTCTCTTTCAAACTAAATGCAAAGAAGGAGAAGGAAGGGGAGGAGGAAGGAAAGGAGGAGGAGGAGGAGAAACAGAAACAGAGAAACAGAGAAAAGTCTCTGTAGGTAACCTAGATCTTTGAATTAAAGCAAAGTCTTTAATGTAGGCATTATGATATGCTCTGTACATGATTTAAACACTTTGAATTTCATCATCATCATTTCTTTGAGTCAGCACTATTATTCCTTTCTCTGATTTCTCCTTTAGCTCTCCAATATTTTTAACAGGATAAAGAGACTCTAAATCCAGTGACCATGCTTTATGTTCAGAAAATATTACCTCTTAATAAATGTCTGGCTATTATTATAAAACTAAGAAGAAAAATCCTTTTAATATGAGTGGCAGAATGAAAATTCATCAATTTAGGTATAAAATGTATTTGAACATTATAAAAAAGGAAAGACAGAGGACGCAAGTACCCACAAACAGGATGAGAACACAGAAATAACATGGGTTTGGCACATTATGACATGATGCTTACATGTTTGGGATGACTAAGAGTTATCTGTTAAATAGAGGGTGACAGGTAGTAATTATTCCAATGCAAGACATTGAACACTAAACAAGGATGGCTAGGATAAAGTGTCAAATGCAGGTCATTAATGATGACAAGGACTGGATTCAGCTGCAGCAGCTGTCACTGTCCCAGGTGGGTGACCATACTGTCATAATCCTTATCGCTATGGTCTTCCTGGAAAAGTACAGGCTAATATGGCAGGTTAAAAAAGTACAAATGATAAGTATTGCTTACAGAAATGTACTGAACAAATCTCAGTGTCTTCAGTGGCCCAAGAATTTATTTCTTGGTAGATCATCTTTTTAAGTTTCTAACTCCAATGTAAGTGAAGCTTTGATGTCAGGAAGCTCTGAGTTTAAATGTCACAACTTACCAGCTGTTTAACCTTTTTTAACCTCCAACATACATAGTGGAAAGCCTACTTCATATGAGGATTAAATAAGAAAAGGAATGCAAAATAGATGGCATGTAGAAGGTATGGAATAAATTTTAGTTTTCTCCTAAGCCAAGTTCCGCCCTGAACAAGTTGATCAAATTTTACCTAAAATTACTTTCTGCTAGTAAATACATTTCATTCTTGCAAATGTTTGCTGCAAATACATCAGTTTACAAATACTATAGTTTATTAATTATCATCCAATATTTTAAAAATAAAGTATATAACTGATGATTATATTTGAAATTTTATGATTAAGGGACAAGAACAGCTATCATATCAACGTTATTGTCTTTGAATAATAAAATCTATAAAACTATTAGAAAACTTCAATTTCTAAAAATTTCTGACTCAATATTTATTATTTTGTTCAATATCTGTTCACTTCTTTTAAATTAAATAGTCATCCTAAAACCACTGAATCATCAATCCTAAAAAAGTTGAAGAAATACAGCCCAAAACTACTATATCATCTCTATTCATATTCTTTCTGCAGTCTACTTAAGAATTTAATAGTTACTATTTGTGCTATTCCTCACAAATGTCATTATTTAACACCCATTTTTCAGATACAATGGCCCTTAAGACCCCATAGACCCTCATCTCTTAGTTATTACCCTTGTCGATTTACAAAAACCTCCACCATTTTAGGAAGAAAAAAGGCCACATCTCCAGTGGCTACAAAAGTGTATCTCTTGAAAGAAAGAAGCTATGAAAATAGCTGCTGCAATTTAATAGCTTCAAAACATTTCAAACCAAAGCTACTATTTCTTCTTTCCCCTCTCCACTCCCATTGTGGATTATTCCAATACTTCAGTTTTTGTACATTCCATGCTATCAAAAATGGCAAAGAATTGGAAAATAACATTATGCCAAGAAGACGTCAAGGTGCTATTTCAAACTTTAAAAAACAAAACAAAACAGATGCCACTTTTGACCCATGAGAGAGAAAATATTCATTATTAAAGTAGACCAGACTGTTCCTCAGTCCCTTAAACACTCTACAGTTTGAATGATCAAAAAAGCCTCTTCAGTGTGCATGTCCAAGCCTGACGTTCCTGCCAAATCCAGTATTTCTAACTTTCTACTGAGCATTTCCAGTATTTTCTTTCAAGCTGAACTCCATGGAACCAGCCTCAGGTTCTCTCTCCTCTCCCTCTCTTCTCTGCTACACACCTAGCTCCACATAGTAATCAAGTCCTGCTAGCATCCCCCTTTCAACTCAGATTGTCCCATTCTGATGGAGTGCTACTGTCTCATGGGGGCCCTAACAAGGTGGTTCCTGCATTAGCCCAGTTGCCTTCTGCTCTTACCTTCAGTCCTTCTAAGAGTATACTGCCTGTCACCAAGATAATACTTGTAGGAAAACAAAATAAAACAAACAAAAAACCCAACTTGTTTTCATGAAGTCTTAGTACAAAATTAGAAAACAAAATTCAATAAAATATTTTTGTTTGATGGGACACAGATTTATTTAAAATTTTAAAGTTGAGAAACAGCAATAAATATTTGTTGGACATTCATAGCTAAGTGCTAGTCTAATATACTACATTCTCCAGAACTGAACAGGACTCTGCTGGGCGTGGTGGCTCATGCCTATAATCCCAGCACTTTGGGAGGCTGAGGGAAGGGGATTACTCATGGTCAGGAGTTTGAGACCAGCCTAGCCAACATGGTGAAACCCTGTCTCTACTAAAAATACAAAAATTAGCCAGGCATGGTGGCAGCTGTAATCCCAGCTACTCAGGAGGCTGAGGCAGGAGAATTGCTTGAACCTGGGAGGCGGAGGTTGCAGTGAGCCAAGATAGCGCCACTGCATTCCAGCCTGGGGGACAGAGAGAGACTCTATCTCAAAAAACAACAACAACAAAAAAAAAAAAACAACAAAAAGAACAACCAAACGGGACTTAGATTTATTCTCTATTATTTCCCCACATATAGCTCAAAAGTTGCTAAAGAAAATAATTGAATCACTGTCCCAGAACAAATGTAAATGTTCCTACTTTCTCTACCTCTACAAATCCTTCAAGATTAACTCAACTCTCTCTTCTATAAAACCTCACCTTACCTCTTGGTCTGAAGTATTCTTCCTTAATAACTCAAACAGCAATTAATGTCCAGACAATTCATTTAGAAATTAATTAGGCAACACTTTTGTGTAATCTCTTCTGTTACTTCCTTGAATTGATGTTTAAATATTTCATTATTTTACGTTGTATATGTGGATTGTTGCCCTTTTGAGTAGATTACAAACTTGTTGATAACTATGTATTAAATATTTTGGGGTTTCAAAGACTGCCTGAAAATAGTGGGTACTCAGGAAAAAATGGCTAATTTTATTTTATGCCTATCATGTCCTAATTCTAGCAAATTTTTTTAAACCACCAAAATTATTTGATGTGGAATTATAATTGTGGAGTTTTCAAATATATATAATAGGTATATATAAACTATTTGCTGTTTATATATAAATATATATCATATATATAATTCTAATTAGATTAGATTCTAATTAGAATCCATCTTGACTATACAACTGGTTTTATCTTCTGTTTTTATTTGTTAATTGCATTTTGCTTGCTCTGCTTTGGGTTATAATTTTTGAGGCTTTTCTTTATCCCCCACTACATCTAGACTGTAATAAATTCCTAGCAGGTAGGGATTATCTAGTATTCACTAGATTTTTTAAAGAAAAAAATTTTTTCTCGAGAACCTGTTGATAACTTGTAGCTCATTTTCCTTTGTCTAATCTTACTAGAAAATATTTTCACCAAAAATTTAGAAAAGTCAGAAATGTGTTTAAATGCTCATGTGTTAAATGCTCCAACATGCCAAAAAGAAAAATTATAGCACTTATAATTTAAGTTTTAATATTCATCTGTAATCTTACAGAGAATATGTTGTATTTTCATTAATACTATTAATTAATCCAAAATTTCACTTGTTTATTATTTCTAAGATTTCAGAAACAAAGCAGTAAATGTTTATAAATGATTAGAAAAACTGTTTGCTCTAAAGAGTATAAAAAGCCTTAAAATGTAGTTTACATGGGTATTTTTCTTATGCCTTCAGTTATAAAAACCATCTTATTATTATTAATAATAGTAATATTATTATTTTATACAACAGAGAGTACAAAGAATGATGCCCTAGGAATAAAGGAAACCTCCTATTTCTTATAATTTGATAAAACTTTCTTTCTCAGCAAAATATTATATAATATTAGCATGCCACAACATGAAAGTCTTTCAAGATGCCTCATCTAAACAACAAGTTCTATGACAGCTGTATCATGGGGAACCCTTGGCCCCTCCATGTGAAATAGGGAATGTAAGGACTGAGGTGTCTACCACAGGACCTAGTGTTGAAGGCAGGCAGACTGAAGAGGAGGCCGACCTCCAGATGCTCAACCCTCAGTTCCCAGTACTCACACACTAAGGATTTCTCATCAAAAAAATAGCTGGCAGCCCATTTGCCTCAGTTTTCACTAACGTACCTGAAGAGATATTAAGACTTTAAAAACCATTTCAGGATTGAATTTTTGTAAGATGATTTTGGGCACACTATTTTCAGATACATCAAAGAATAAATTTGATTAGTGAAATCAGTTGCTCCATAGATCAAAATAAGAGCTCAAGCTCTCAGAATGATCTGGGAAATAAACAGTAAATTCACAGTAAATTTAACGGAAGTCTAAAATGATGAAAGATTCTGAAAACTAGATTTTAAGAGGGAATTATAAATAATAAATTATGACTGTGCCAACAGTATCCTAAACTAAAAATGATGGCTTTTCCATAGTAAATCTGAGAGCTTTGATAATTGAAATATATAATTTGGGATTGTGTCATAATCTTAGCCTCCAGATAGAACTCCTTTTGCTTTGATTTTACAGGTTAGAAATGACAATCAATTTTAATATTTTAATATTAAGACTAACATGTTGATTTATTTTCTACCACTAATTATATTTCTTTTTTTTAAGTAAAGTATATAACTTTATAATTATTCTTAAGTTTTGGCCTCTGGACAATATCTGTAGGTGCTTAAAAATCAATCCACAAATAATTTTCTGACGCCAATATTTACAATAATATGACTAAGATACTTAATATTTATGTTTTGTATGTATTATATTTAAATATTCACTAGTGATTCCTATGTTAC
Source organism: Homo sapiens (assembly GCF_000001405.40). Classification (NCBI taxonomy): domain Eukaryota; kingdom Metazoa; phylum Chordata; class Mammalia; order Primates; family Hominidae; genus Homo; species Homo sapiens. The sequence goes on from NC_000004.12 coordinate 79,953,891, forward strand.
AAAAATAGTTCACTAGTACTTCTCATTTATATGTTGGCCTTTTCAATTTTATTGTTAAATTTTTCTTAATTCAACACCTGGGCCTATAACATATTAATATAACTAAAACACTAAACTCTAAACTGCTGTAAATTTTCTGGAAAACTGACCAATAAATTCTGAAACATAAAGCAGAATTTACACGAACTAAATTTTTCAATAACCTATTTAAAGTTAGAGTTAATACCACTTATTACCTACCTACCTGCATGAATCTGGCAACTTGAGATCTCTATATAGTTGTTGTTTGTTTTTGAGACAAGGTCTTGCTCTGTTGCCCAGGCTGAAGTGCAGGGTCACTGCAGCCTCAATCTCTTGGGCTCAAGTAGTCCTCCCACCTTGGCCTTCTAAAATGCTGGGATTACAGGTATGAGCCACCATGTCCAGACTTACTTGACATTTTAAAGTCTCAGTTTCCTTATCTTTAAAATGGCAATAAAAATATTTTACTGTGAGATGTTTTGATAATTAGAGTAACATGATACATGTTTGAAATATTTGAAATATTAAGGGCCTAAAAATTTGTAATTAAAAACTGGGCCCAGTGACAGGCATCTGTAGTTCTAGCTACTCAGGAGGCTAAAGTAGGAGGATCACTTGAGCCCAGGAGTTCAAGGCTGCAATGAGCCTTGTGCAATGTGCCACTGGACTCCAGCCCAGATGAGAGCAAGACCCCAGATTTTAAAAAGAATGAATTTGTGATTGAAATAATATTAATTCAGGATTTTGTTCTATTTATAAAAAATATCTGAAATATACTTTCATCTAATTAATAAAGAATATGTCATATAAGAATAAAATCATGATCTGTACTGAGAGGTTTTTTAAACGCATTCAGAAGCCAGACCGGAGGGCAGAGGCCAGAGGTCAGAGGCTAGACAAGTGTTATTTGTCATCTAGTTAGCTGCAGGTAAAAAGACCACTTAATAAAATGAGTCTATTAGGCTGATTTAAGTAAAAGTGATTGATTTTCATTTAACATTTGTCCATTATTGTTAGGTCAAGTTGGAAAATCAATTTCAATGTGACCCAATGGGAGAACAGTTCCAGTATCTATATGTGTTTAATGACAAGAACACATTAGTACTCATTTGCTTATAACAGTATTAAATGATAGCTTGTGTTTAAATTATTTTACAGTTGTGACACAAGACAGCAAAATACAGCATATCAAAATGACAATGGAGATAATCTAATATCACACATTGATCTCTTCTTATTTTGAAAGAAGAAAATCAGTGAGAAATAGACAAATTTTATAGAGAGGAAACTGGAATAAAATTTAAATAAATATACAGAGCTCTTAAAATCTGTATTTCCCTTACTCTCTTTCATATGCAGTTATTTTCAAATTATTTTAAAGTGTAACCAGTAGCAAGATATCCATTATGGATCTAGAATCATAGTATTTTTATAGTCCCTTGAACATATTTTCAAATACTATGCAGAATATATGCCATTTTTTTAGTCTTATAGTAACTTGTAAAATATTTATTTATTCATTATTGCTGGCCTCATGAAATGTCTATATACTAAAAAAAGTATGAATTAATTTAAACATATTCTAAACAATAAGTTAGAATTTCCACCTGCATGAATTATTCTGTTCAAATATTGTTAAGGCCTCCTCTCTGAGGGCAATGTGCAGGGTTTTGGGAATACCCTTATGAGCATAGGAAAAATATCATATTCATAGAGCTGGGTTGGTTGAAATTAGATTTTTTTAAAAAAACAAGACTGCTAGAATTCAAAGGTAACTTTTTGATCATTTATTTTTCTATACACAAATGAGAAGACCGAAGACCAGAAGGTTTAGAAAATTTGCGCCGGACTGAAGCTGATAAATGACAGTATCGAGATCCCAACTCCCCTGACTCCCAATGCAGTGTTCTTTCCAATATGCCACCAAGGGCTATAGGAATAGCTCTAATTTTTCTTCCTTCCTATAACTCACTTTCCCAGCTCCTAATCTCTTGCATAACTCACCTTCTCAGCTGCCAATCTCTTGCTACAGTTTGAAAAGCAATGTGCAATTCCTGGAATATATAAGCTAGTTCATCCCTCTTGTGCTTTTGAACACGCTTGTCCCTCTTGGAGAGAACTGAAGTAGGGATGGAAGTTGCAGTATACGAAGGGGTTGAATTACACAACTTCTAAGGTTTCTTGTGATGTAAAAATTCCTTATTCTGTATAAACTTGCTGTAGAATTTATTGCCACTTCTAAATATTAAATATTATTTATAGATGCCTATATAATTAAATGTATGTTGTGTATGTGTATTATAGAGTAATATGCATGCATTCTGAATATATGTCAAATATATGTGTATCAGTAAAAACACAGATACACAGTTGATAACCCAGGCACCAGAAGAATCAGGTTCAAAACTGAAATTCAAAAGTGCTTCCCTACATGTATAATTGCCCTAAGTCAGTCAGTTATTGCCTGAATAGGTAGAGGAATCAAGAGCTGCACTGTAAAATGACAGCATGGAATAACGAGCGTTCACTGGATTTTAAAACCTGACTCTCAATCTAGATTCTGTTACATTCGGCAATGTACCCTTGGGAAATTCACCAATCATCTCTAGATCTCATATTCTTCATCTGTTAAATGAGAACAGTATGACACCGACTCAACACAGATAGGACAAAAATGTGATAATTAAACATACATAAGACATAGTAGGTGCTCAGTGACTGTTAGCTGAATCGGAGTTCTGACCCTTCTCTATAAAAATAAAGTATACTCCCCTCTCCTGAAATTATGAGTTCCCTCAACAACTACAATACCTTGCTACCTCCCATTAGACACAAACATCACCATGCACACAAGTATATGCATGCGCGCGCACACACACACACTCATAGAAGCATTGGAAGTATTGGAAACCCAAGTTTTATTCCCAAGAAGCAAGGAAGGAGACCCCGGGCAAATCAAGAAAAATAGCTGAAGCCAATAATCCCTGTTTTTCAGTTAATGAACCTAAATTTGTGTTCTAAAAAACAGAGTGGATTTATATTAGGAAAAAAGTGTTCTTTCACCTAAGAATCCACTTGACCACTTGACAATCCACCAAATCCACCAATTTGACCAGTTATATCACATATAATATGACCTGCTATATCATAATTTTTATGTGATTCCTTTTGGAGCCCATAATGAAAGACTATCTACAAAGGCAGAAACATTGAGATAGGGCTAAGCTACTCAGGAAAACACATATTATTTCCATTCCTTTTACAAATTTGAGAACCCTCCAAGAGTCTAATTCTAACTTCTTTTGCATCATGTTATTGTCCAATTCAAAGCTGTTATTATCCACAGACTATAAATAAAATCTAAATCCTTAATGCCTGCAGATTTTTGCATCTTCAATAATTAATTAATAGGTACAAAAATAAATGGGTTGATAAATGAAACAAATGAACACTGTTTCATTTGTATGTTTTCCTACTTACATTTAAAGATAATCATTAAAGGAAGAAAACATTGCTGCAAAAAGAAAAGTATAATGTATCTCAAAGCCAAATTTGTGATTTTAAATTTGTAGAAAACTTAAGAATATCTAAGCTACTGATTATACTTTACTACTGAAATTTACTTCACTGTCATTAGAGGTAAGATATATGTGTAAATACTAAAATAATTCAGTGTGCTCTATATTTTCATGACAGAGCTTTTCTTTTTATTTTGTCCAAATAAATGGAGAACATGAGATATAATCCGAAAATCATACTTTTGAAGTTTAGAGCCTTATCTGTTTTTTAAAGATTTCCCCTTGAAGCCATTTTTTGTGGCCAAAATTCTCATAAACAATATGGTTAGTTGCAATTTCACATTGAAAAATATCACAGAATAATAATATAGACTTAATGGTAAAAAGGTATTAACTAGACAAACATTAGTGGAACAGCAACGCAGGGAGGAAGGGAAGGAAAACAAAATTTTAAGAAAAGACTGTTTAGTCATTTCAAGTTTCAATCCGTTTACTTCCAAGTGATTAGGGCTGCAATAGTGAAATATACAACCTTAAAAACATAATTTATAGTTTATTATTTAAATGACACTTCATTTTCCTATTGCCTGCAAATTATTAATTAAAATAATATCTCTTCCCTATTCTTCATCTTTTTTCCTTTTCTTTTCTGTCTCATTTTCTAGCTCTTGATTCTCTCTCCTTCTATATCACCTCATAATCTGATGTTTCCTCTTCAGTGAAGTATTTTGTATGCTGGTAAACATGAAAGTAATATTATTCAGATTTACTGCTGTTGCTATACCTAGGGATTTTATTTGAATTTATTGGTACTTGTCTATCATTCCTAACTGCCCTACAGTAACTGTCAAAAGGTGAAGTTCTGAATATTAACCCAAGGAAATATTTGAAATATGTAAATGAAAATATTTTATCACACACACACATTCTCTCCTTCCTAAACTTCTTATCTCATAAAAGAGTATCTGATGCCAGAGCATGAAAAGTGTATTAAGAGCTTAACATCAGTATTAATAACTCAGATTTAAAACTCTTAGCAATTAATTAAGATTAATGACAGAAGTCATCCCTTTTTCTCCAATGTAACACTTCCTCACATCTTTTCAATCTCTCATTCATGAGCCCCTCCATGCTCATTTCAGGCTGTGAAAAACGAAGGTCCTGAAACTTTGATCCTGTTATCTGCTGCTTTTTGTATCTGAGATTAAGGAAGTAGACACTGGCAAATTTACAACCAACAGCTCGGACAGCTGTCCTACTTTAAGCAGTTAATGGAAAAGGAACTAATCTAGTTAAGAGCATAAGACTAGTTCATAAATCTGGATTCGGAGGACAGTTAAAACCGTCCCACCTCTTCTGAAGAGTAGTAACTGAATTAAATTCTCTTCTCACTGTTTGTTGAGAAGAGCCAGTGTTTCTGTAAACTGGACTAATGAGGCACTCAGAGCTAACATAAGCCACATATAGGCCAGCACCATAGATGATTATGCAAAAGATTAATTAACATTAAAATATATGATTTGGCTAGGACAAATACAGATCTCACAAGAATTCCGATCATTGAAAATTTTTCTTAAATAGAATATGAAATAAAGATCAAATGTTTTTAAAAAATGAAAAAAATGCAACTGCAAGCAAAAAAAAATTCTGAAAAAGACAATAAAAATTAAAAGCCTTCATTTGTTCAAAATTTAGCCTAAAGGAAAATGATTGTGTTATGTTTTTATAATTCAGAAAATGTTCAATAGATTTAATTATAATTTAAAAATTAATCATCCAAACTGACTAATTTTAGCCCCTTATAAATAACATTTTTTTGTATCATCATCCTTAGCCACATTTTTGCAGAAAATAATTCAAACGTTAAATTTCAGAATTGTTCTGTCTTATTTTTCTCAGTAGCTTAATTTATAAGTAGTAAAATAACAAGTAAAGATAACAGAAATGTTTAAATTCTACAAATTCAAATGATACCTCTCTTATGAATCACTAGGATCTAATGCACATATTAACTTATAATTTATATTCTTAATTATAATAAAACTAAGAGGAACTATAATAGACAAAATTCTGTTCCTCAAATCAATATCTCATGCATATCACAGGGTAATTATGTTATCTGATGGCATAGGAGACTGTACCCAGAATTAGAAAGTTAAAATCTTGACCCTGCTCACTGAGCTGTGGGAACCACAATGGTGTGCTTAAGTCTAGTGGGCCTCAGTTTAGATACATCTGGTGAGGGATAGAGCAAATGACTGAGAGAAAAGTTATATAACTACAATTTGAAAGACATACATGAGGAAAATGGCTAAGTCCCGCTAAACACAGATAATGTAGTGACAACAGGGGGTCAAAGCGGAAAATTCATATAAGCTCTCAGAGACATGCAAGTGGAATTCAAGAGGGAAGGTCGCATTGTCTAAGAATGATGTCTAACGACGTCTCTAACAATGAGGACAAAGCAGTGGAAGCCTCAATCAATGTTAGGAAGTCAGACAAGGGAGAGAAATGAAAGAATTAGAGAAAGATAATGGGAGAGTAATCCCTCTTTACTCCAGAAATTTATCTGTATGCTACGTATGTAAACATGATATTTGAACGTTTTATTGAAATGTTTTACAGACTTACTAACTCTTTTAGGCAACTAAGATTTGAGATGGGCATATGTGCATGTGTCTGTGTGTATGTCTCACCAATCTGCACTAGGTTCCGCCTTAAAGCTATTTAAATAAAATAAAGTGAATTCATAATTAACTATTAAGAAATCATTCATGTCAGGAAATGGCTCTAGAAAACAAAAGTGCTTGATTTAAAAAAATTAGAAAACTCTAATATGATTCAAAACAAAAGTATGCTTAGTACTGGATATGATTATGAAATTTAATATATATGATGTATTATTTTCAGTATACTAACCTGCTTACTAAGAAGCATTATGGGAACCTAAAGTATCTTTCTGCCACATTTTCCAAGTGAAAAGAGCTCTTTAAGGAGAAAGAGATGATGTATATCAGAGAATAAAATTATTGTGAAATGGCAATGAGTTTGTAGAAATTATCCCAACTTTATAAGTTTTTTAAAAGCATAAGGAGAAAAAAAACTTGTAATTATTTGAAACTAAGAAAGTGTTAACCCAAAGCCAGAAAAAATAAAATGGTAAACAAATGTCCAGGGGTATTCTTTCATTTCTCCTTATTTTCTGTTTCCTTCTCTCTTTTTTTATGTTATTTGCAAAGTTTGAAAAATAAATTATTTTTATTTTATAACTCAAAATTATATCAGTTTCAAAATTCTTAAATGTTAGAGGTTGGAATTTGATTCAGAGTACAATTAGTGGAAAATATAAATAAAAATTATATGGAAAAATTTTTAAAGAAATTACTTAGTATAATTATTACTATTGCATACTACTATATATTAGCTTCTATGTTATACAAATCCTAGTGTTTTATTTATAAATAAAAATGAGAGATATTTAGCAAAGTTGAAAAGGCATTTATAAGTACATTTTTAGGAATAAAGGGGCAATAAAAGCTTCCTACTCAAGCCAATTTCCTTAACTGAGTTATAAAGCTTTCCTTAAACTAAACTTATAAATGGGGTTCTGGTAGACACAAAGGCACCATCATAATGCATTCTATTTAAGTAACAAACTGTCTACAAAAAAGATGCACTGTATCCCCCCTTGGACTGGGTCTTCTGAGCTCTAAATTTAAAAATGAGTATTTAACACATGTAGAATAATGTAGATTTCTGTAAATTATTAGAAATTATAGTAATTTATTTAAATATATATTTAAGCCTCTGTAATAAAAAGTATATAAAAACCATACATAAAGTAACCAAAAAATGGAAAATAAAGCTTAAAATTGTATCTGTGTTGACATTTCTGCTCCCCATTGGATGATTTAATTGATTCTACATCACAGCCATACGTTGAGCCTCAGAAAATAATGTGTTTAGTCCTGGACCACCAAGACATTTTGAAAGTATTCTTTTTTTAATTATTGTTATTTTTTTAAGATGGGATCTTGCTCTGTCACCCAGGCTGGAGTGCAATAGTGTGATCATGGCTTACTGCAGCCTTGACATCCCTGGCTCAAGCAATCCTCCCACCTCAGCCTCCCGGGTAGCTGGTACTACAGGCATGTTCCACTCTACCAGGCTAATATTTTGTTTGTATTTTTTGTAGAGACGGGGTCTCCCTATGTTGCCCAGGCTGGTCTCAAACTCCAGGACTCAAGGGATTCTCTCATCTCTGCCTCCCAAAGTGTTGGGATTGCAGGTGTGAGCCCCACACTCAGCCAAAAGTATTCTTTCAGAGTGCCAAAGCTCACTGATGATGATGAAAAGAAGTTACATTTCTAAAACCAGTGCATTGAGAAGAGGTATTTACACTAATCATTTTTTGTTTCTTGTTTATCAAAAGGTTGCTGATGAAATTTTACTCAAGATAAATATTTATCTAAACTTGGAAATTAATACAGAAAATGTATATGACTCCACTAAATAGCTAATAATGCCTATATGGGGAGGGGAGACAACTAAGTACCCAAGTTCTGTTTATAGATTCTTTGAAAAAAAATATATTTTTTGGTAATTTAAATGATTAAATTTTGCATATTCTGCATTTCACTTCAGGAAACCAGACTGAGTCAACACTTTTGCCAACTTATATACCTAATTAAGAGATTATTTTATTGAAACTAAGAAATGTTATCAAAAAGCATTCTATTTCATGAATTTGTTATTTTCCACTGAAACAGTTCATGATATACACAGTGAGCAAATATGTCCTATAAGAATATATGCATATATATAGTTATAAACATGCTATATGCACATTCATATATATATACACACTCTCCTAAAACAGTCAGTGGGATAGTAGTAAAAATGGCATGTTCATGAGATGGATTATTCTAGTAAAAATTTATCTTTCAAATATGTATAAACTGAAGTTAATTACTTCCATTAATTTAAATGGAATATGATGGTATTTTAAAGACGCCCTGAAAGGTAAAGGCCAAAGATAATAATAATGAAAGATAATATAAAGAGCGGAAAAGACTAGTGGTATTCTTTTCCAGCTTTGTTGCATCAGAATCGCCCTAAAGAAACTATAACAAATTTCAGATCTTATAGAAATAAAAGGTAAACAATGGGTTTACAGTTTTTAAACATTTTTATATTTTCTACTCTGTCACTTTAATATATAAAAGGAAATGAATAGAAATACATGGGCATTTTATACATGATAGGACTGACTCAATTAGGCTACAATAAAGGGTTATTTTTTCTAAAGCCCCTAAAATCTGTTACAAAGTTCAGCTATATGGCACAAAATATTTGGATGGAAACTAAAAACTAAATTTAAAAATGTAGCCCTTTTTCAAAACAATGATTTTTGGGGTAATAATATTGAGTAGCCCAGGCTATCAATATACATATATTTTAATGATTTTTTTTAAGAATGCAGTCATTAGCAGCATAATTCTAGGTACTGAAGACACTTGAAGCATCAAATCAATTGAGTGAAGGTTCCAATCTGCACTGAAAGACCCACTAGTGGTTACACTTCGCAACTGTGATGGGAACATAATGGCAGTGTGATGCAGAATCTCTACCATCCAGATGCTTATTATATTTGAAGATGACATGGTTTAAGAGTGCCAAGCACTGGGTGATTTGTTAACATAATGGAGTACAAAGCCATCCTTGAGAAGGTTGTAATCATTTAAGAAGCCACCATTAAAAAGGGCAAGGCCAGTGTGAGCCTGAAAATTCACAAGCAGGACTGAAAGGCACGAGCATAAATTTAGAAATTAGAGATGTAAACAAGAGGTAGAGCCCAAAGCCTTTGCCTTTGACGTTATCAGGATTCTCGGGTCCCTTTTAAATGAACTTGTGCAACCTGTCTTCTCTGATATTTTTGTGGGTTTTGCTGTAGATTTAAAAAATTGGAGGATTGAGATAGTGTTCTGTCAGACTGAATATTCTTGAGAAAGCAATCGCCGTCAATCATTTCAAAAAAACGAAATTACATCTGCACAACTGACAAAAGTCCTCTCAATATACTGAAAAATATTTATGTTGCTTATTTCAACAAGACATAAAAACTTTGCTACATACTACCATCTGCCCTTTGGCCATTGCTCCCTGGCTACTTCCCTCTCCAAAGGATACTTTTGAGTCAGCATCTCTCCTTTTTCTCAAGAAAGGGAGCCTAAATTTTACGAATGATAATATTTTACGTTACTATAGAATCTTTATTATCTTACCATTCCCAGGAGCTCTTTCTTATCAGGATAATATTGTAACCAATTCTATTATGTCATATTTACGTGTGCAAAATTAAGGAGTTTTTGCAGTATTTCCATTGAAAAGTCAACACATTCTTGAATTTTTTGTTTCTGGCTGAATGTAGGTAGTAGAGGAGGAGAACCGCCCAAAAAGAAAATGTTTGTTTACTTCTGACTTAACATTTTATTTTTTATATGTAACTATAGGAATGAAGTCTTTATGAATAGGAATTAGTTAAAGTCAATTCAATTTTGTAAATTTTGTTTTAGTAAAAAATTACATCCATCGGCAAAGATTTAATTTAATTTCATCTCCGTGTAATAAGAAACCTTAAAAGTTTAAAAACAAATGGTGGATGTACTTGACGAGTGTTACTAGGATTCTTCAACCGCTGTATACACACTTTTATGTCTGCTTGCTGGTGAGGAGAGACTGCCTTCTGAAGGTTAACATAACCTCGATTACAGCCAAGAAGCTCCTTGGAGATTTAATTGGTTTGTGGAACTACTCCAAAACTAGTGCTGCGCTTTCTTCTTTCTTTGCCTTTCTGCTTCTCTAACTCTCTCTTTTCAAATCAAAAAGGAGAACGCATGGTAATGCATCATTTATAAATTACCTTGTTACTGCGAAAAACAAAACACTGCTTTGAAAACCAAACAAACTCCTGCTGCGGACTCCGGCATGTTTGATGGAGGCCTTTCAAAAGAGTCCACGGCTTAATGGAGGTTGTTTATGTGGAGACTTCGATCTGTACCTGCTGTCCCCTGTCACTCCCTGGAAACTTGGCGGCAGATGTTGCAGCGTTAAGTTGTCTCTGAAGTGGCTTTCTGTCCTCGTCTCCCCACCGCAACGGAGTCAAACTACATTAGATCTCTTATTTGTGCCTAAGGCAAGTTTGGGAGCGCAGCTGTGTCCACCCCGACTCCTACCTTTGGTGTTTCAGGCCTCCAGGCAGCGAGAGTGAGACCAAAACGGTTTTGCCGCTCTCAACTACCTCCGCTGACAATCCGGCCGCTAGCTGCGGGATGGGGAGGCCGCTGCCGCCGCTGCAAACAGATGTCAGCGACAACCTGCTAGCTTACACCTGGACGCGCGGCCCTCACCTCGCGCGCCGCGCTGAAACATTCATGTCTCGGAGGACTTCCCGCCGCAATCAAAGCCCGGGCCCGGCGTGCGGCCCGCGGACCCCGCCACCTCTGCGGAAGCTGGCGCGCGGAAGAGAGCGCGAGAGAGGGCCCGAGCGGGAGACTGCTCGCCCGCTTTGATACTTTCTGCCTGAACTTCAATTACTTGATCAAGGACTTCAATTCAGCAGTGAATTCTTCCACAAACGTGCCCGGTGCGGCCTCCGAGCCATAAGAGCCATAAAAGGGGCGCATTTGGCTGGAAATTCACCGTGACGGGACTCACAGAGTAAATGCGCGTGACTCTGGGTTGAGTTCTAGGAACGCTGATTTGTTTATACAACTAAACTTGAGTTTCAAGCGGCAGAATCTGCAGTAAACAATTATAAATAAATGACAAGATTGTTTTCCTAGGTAGAAAACATGCTGTTGACTAGGCAGAGGTCGTGTTATTTAGAACCATTAGCCACAACCTGAAAACAGCTGTGTTTTATTGTCTCTCAAGTGGCATGAAGTTTGTTTTGCCTTTTTTTAGAGTCACTATTATCTCCTTTAAAAAAGGAAGCATTCTCATTTACTTCTTGACAATACACATCAAGTTCCATCCATTTCTAACTAAAAAAATTGTTTAAACTCTTCCTGATTTCTACAGTTTAAAAATTGCTTTATAAGCACACACATGGAACTTGTATACCTGTATAAATACTTCATAAGAACCATAATCAAAAGTAAATATTATGCATATATACACACAAAAACCATTATGAGCACAGAACACACAGGAAAATAAAATTATTTGCAAGATATATTCACCAATTTACATGTTGATAAGAAAGTTTATTTTAAAAAGAATTGACCTTAACAGACAATAACATTTGTTCCAGTGAACTTTTTGCTATGCATAGACAATTCTTTTAGAGGGAATCAGTGTATCTAATCTAAGCTGATACAATGCTATTTACAAATTTCCTAATATTCCTAATATCAGATAATTTGTTGAGAACATAGATTTGTTGATATAAAAGTGATATACATTTTCAAAGGGCAATGGACATCTCTTAAAAATATAAAATCTTTCATGAATTGGTCTCAGTTCAACGTTTTTCATTTAATCAGATTTTGATTGACATTAGGGATGTAAATTTGCAAACAATAGGATTTCACCCTTGCTTAGAGCCCAATTGTAGGTATATGTGATTATTTAAAGCTAACAAAAGAACTCCAGGACTAATTTTTCTCATTCAATGAATGATTATGCTAGGACTTAGACACACACACACACACACACACACACACTACTCTAAAGACAATTCATTTTCTCCTTTCTTGAAGCAAATATAAATGTAGGTAGATAGTTATTTAAAGAACAGCCAGAGAAGTAGAGGATACTACCACTTGGGCATCGTAGTCCCCTAAATTTTAATTTTCTTTAGTACATGTAATTCCATGAGATAAACCACATCTACATAAACTAAATTGGTAAAAACCATAAGGTTCAGTAACTTTAATTTTTTACCAACTAACCACAGTAAGTAGAAGGTAGTGGTGAGCTATGGATGTCTTCTCGTGCATAGATAAAGCATTACCAAAGCAGATCATCCCATTTTAATATGATGCATCCAAATTAGCTGTGCCAAATATACTCTAAATTCCTGATACTCTTCCTGCCTCTGCGTCATTATTTTCTGAATAGGTAAATTACTGTAAGTTCCCCAAATGAAAGATACTCTAAAGCAAAAAAGAACTGAAATTTAAGAAATATTATGTGCTCTTTCTATAAAATAGAAATAAAATTTGTAGGATATTAGAGTCTCAATACAGATTATATCACTGCCCCATGCAAATATGATTTTATTTAAACAAATAATGAAATATTACTTTTTGGATAATACTATTTTTATGTTTACATTATTTTAGAGACTTAAAAAAATCACTGAAATATTTACCATGATTAAATGGCCTGTGATTGCTGCACATTCTTTTTGGCACAAGTTGCCTTTGTCAATCAAGATATTTACTGTGCTGGCGACTATAAGAATAGGGCGTCCGGGGAGGAGCCAAGATGGCCGAATAGGAACAGCTCAGGTCTACAGCTCCCAGCGTGAGCGACGCAGAAGACGGTGATTTCTGCATTTCCATCTGAGGTACCGGGTTCATCTCACTAGGGAGTGCCAGACAGTGGGCGCAGGCCAGTGTGTGTGCGCACCGTGCGCGAGCCGAAGCAGGGCGAGGAATTGCCTCACCTGGGAAGCGCAAGGGGTCAGGGAGTTCCCTTTCCGAGTCAAAGAAAGGGGTTACGGATGCACCTGGAAAATCGGGTCACTCCCACCCGAATATTGCGCTTTTCAGACCGGCTTAAGAAACGGCGCACCACGAGACTATATCCCACACCTGGCTCGGAGGGTCCTATGCCCACGGAATCTCGCTGATTGCTAGCACAGCAGTCTGAGATCAAACTGCAAGGCGGCAACGAGGCTGGGGGAGGGGCGCCCGCCATTGCCCAGGCTTGCTTAGGTAAACAAAGCAGCCAGGAAGCTCGAACTGGGTGGAGCCCACCACAGCTCAAGGAGGCCTGCCTGCCTCTGTAGGCTCCACCTCTGGGGGCAGGGCACAGACAAACAAAAAGACAGCAGTAACCTCTGCAGACTTAAGTGTCCCTGTCTGACAGCTTTGAAGAGAGCAGTGGTTCTCCCAGCACGCAGCTGGAGATCTGAGAACGGGCAGACTGCCTCCTCAAGTGGGTCCCTGACTCCTGACCCCCGAGCAGCCTAACTGGGAGGCACCCCCCAGCAGGGGCACACTGACACCTCACACGGCAGGGTATTCCAACAGACCTGCAGCTGAGGGTCCTGTCTGTTAGAAGGAAAACTAACAACCAGAAAGGACATCTACACCGAAAACCCATCTGTACATCACCATCATCAAAGACCAAAAGTAGATAAAACCACAAAGATGGGGAAAAAACAGAACAGAAAAACTGGAAACTCTAAAACGCAGAGCGCCTCTCCTCCTCCAAAGGAACGCAGTTCCTCACCAGCAACAGAACAAAGCTGGATGGAGAATGATTTTGACGAGCTGAGAGAAGAAGGCTTCAGACGATCAAATTACTCTGAGCTACGGGAGGACATTCAAACCAAAGGCAAAGAAGTTGAAAACTTTGAAAAAAATTTAGAAGAATGTATAACTAGAATAACCAATACAGAGAAGTGCTTAAAGGAGCTGATGGAGCTGAAAACCAAGGCTCGAGAACTACGTGAAGAATGCAGAAGCCTCAGGAGCCGATGCGATCAACTGGAAGAAAGGGTATCAGCAATGGAAGATGAAATGAATGAAATGAAGCGAGAAGGGAAGTTTAGAGAAAAAAGAATAAAAAGAAATGAGCAAAGCCTCCAAGAAATATGGGACTATGTGAAAAGACCAAATCTACGTCTGATTGGTGTACCTGAAAGTGATGTGGAGAATGGAACCAAGTTGGAAAACACTCTGCAGGATATTATCCAGGAGAACTTCCCCAATCTAGCAAGGCAGGCCAACGTTCAGATTCAGGAAATACAGAGAACGCCACAAAGATACTCCTCGAGAAGAGCAACTCCAAGACACATAATTGTCAGATTCACCAAAGTTGAAATGAAGGAAAAAATGTTAAGGGCAGCCAGAGAGAAAGGTCGGGTTACCCTCAAAGGAAAGCCCATCAGACTAACAGCAGATCTCTCGGCAGAAACCCTACAAGCCAGAAGAGAGTGGGGGCCAATATTCAACATTCTTAAAGAAAAGAATTTTCAACCCAGAATTTCATATCCAGCCAAACTAAGCTTCATAAGTGAAGGAGAAATAAAATACTTTATAGACAAGCAAATGTTGAGAGATTTTGTCACCACCAGGCCTGCCCTAAAAGAGCTCCTGAAGGAAGCGCTAAACATGGAAAGGAACAACCGGTACCAGCCGCTGCAAAATCATGCCAAAATGTAAAGACCATCGAGACTAGGAAGAAACTGCATCAACTAATGAGCAAAATCACCAGCTAACATCATAATGACAGGATCAAATTGACACATAACAATATTAACTTTAAATATAAATGGACTAAATTCTGCAATTAAAAGACACAGACTGGCAAGTTGGATAAAGAGTCAAGACCCATCAGTGTGCTGTATTCAGGAAACCCATCTCACGTGCAGAGACACACATAGGCTCAAAATAAAAGGATGGAGGAAGATCTACCAAGCCAATGGAAAACAAAAAAAGGCAGGGGTTGCAATCCTAGTCTCTGATAAAACAGACTTTAAACCAACAAAGATCAAAAGAGACAAAGAAGGCCATTACATAATGGTAAAGGGATCAATTCAACAAGAGGAGCTAACTATCCTAAATATTTATGCACCCAATACAGGAGCACCCAGATTCATAAAGCAAGTCCTCAGTGACCTACAAAGAGACTTAGACTCCCACACATTAATAATGGGAGACTTTAACACCCCACTGTCAACATTAGACAGATCAACGAGACAGAAAGTCAACAAGGATACCCAGGAATTGAACTCAGCTCTGCACCAAGCAGACCTAATAGACATCTACAGAACTCTCCACCCCAAATCAACAGAATATACATTTTTTTCAGCACCACACCACACCTATTCCAAAATTGACCACATAGTTGGAAGTAAAGCTCTCCTCAGCAAATGTAAAAGAACAGAAATTATAACAAACTATCTCTCAGACCACAGTGCAATCAAACTAGAACTCAGGATTAAGAATCTCACTCAAAGCCGCTCAACTACATGGAAACTGAACAACCTGCTCCTGAATGACTACTGGGTACATAACGAAATGAAGGCAGAAATAAAGATGTTCTTTGAAACCAACGAGAACAAAGACACCACATACCAGAATCTCTGGGACGCATTCAAAGCAGTGTGTAGAGGGAAATTTATAGCACTAAATGCCTACAAGAGAAAGCAGGAAAGATCCAAAATTGACACCCTAACATCACAATTAAAAGAACTAGAAAAGCAAGAGCAAACACATTCAAAAGCTAGCAGAAGGCAAGAAATAACTAAAATCAGAGCAGAACTGAAGGAAATAGAGACACAAAAAACCCTTCAAAAAATCAATGAATCCAGGAGCTGGTTTTTTGAAAGGATCAACAAAATTGATAGACCGCTAGCAAGACTAATAAAAAAAGAGAGAAGAATCAAATAGACACAATAAAAAATGATAAAGGGGATATCACCACCGATCCCACAGAAATACAAACTACCATCAGAGAATACTACAAACACCTCTACGCAAATAAACTAGAAAATCTAGAAGAAATGGATACATTCCTCGACACATACACTCTCCCAAGACTAAACCAGGAAGAAGTTGAATCTCTGAATAGACCAATAACAGGCTCTGAAATTGTGGCAATAATCAATAGTTTACCAACCAAAAAGAGTCCAGGACCAGATGGATTCACAGCCGAATTCTACCAGAGGTACATGGAGGAACTGGTACCATTCCTTCTGAAACTATTCCAATCAATAGAAAAAGAGGGAATCCTCCCTAACTCATTTTATGAGGCCAGCATCATTCTGATACCAAAGCCGGGCAGAGACACAACCAAAAAAGAGAATTTTAGACCAATATCCTTGATGAACATTGATGCAAAAATCCTCAATAAAATACTGGCAAACCGAATCCAGCAGCACATCAAAAAGCTTATCCACCATGATCAAGTGGGCTTCATCCCTGGGATGCAAGGCTGGTTCAATATACGCAAATCAATAAATGTAATCCAGCATATAAACAGAGCCAAAGACAAAAACCACATGATTATCTCAATAGATGCAGAAAAAGCCTTTGACAAAATTCAACAACCCTTCATGCTAAAAACTCTCAATAAATTAGGTATTGATGGGACGTATTTCAAAATAATAAGAGCTATCTATGACAAACCCACAGCCAATATCATACTGAATGGGCAAAAACTGGAAGCATTCCCTTTGAAAACCGGCACAAGACAGGGATGCCCTCTCTCACCGCTCCTATTCAACATAGTGTTGGAAGTTCTGGCCAGGGCAATCAGGCAGGAGAAGGAAATAAAGGGTATTCAATTAGGAAAAGAGGAAGTCAAATTGTCCCTGTTTGCAGACGACATGATTGTTTATCTAGAAAACCCCATCGTCTCAGCCCAAAATCTCCTTAAGCTGATAAGCAACTTCAGCAAAGTCTCAGGATACAAAATCAATGTACAAAAATCACAAGCATTCTTATACACCAACAACAGACAAACAGAGAGCCAAATCATGGGTGAACTCCCATTCACAATTGCTTCAAAGAGAATAAAATACCTAGGAATCCAACTTACAAGGGATGTGAAGGACCTCTTCAAGGAGAACTACAAACCACTGCTCAAGGAAATAAAAGAGGAGACAAACAAATGGAAGAACATTCCATGCTCATGGGTAGGAAGAATCAATATCGTGAAAATGGCCATACTGCCCAAGGTAATTTACAGATTCAATGCCATCCCCATCAAGCTACCAATGACTTTCTTCACAGAATTGGAAAAAACTACTTTAAAGTTCATATGGAACCAAAAAAGAGCCCGCATTGCCAAGTCAATCCTAAGCCAAAAGAACAAAGCTGGAGGCATCACACTACCTGACTTCAAACTATACTACAAGGCTACAGTAACCAAAACAGCATGGTACTGGTACCAAAACAGAGATATAGATCAATGGAACAGAACAGAGCCCTCAGAAATAATGCCGCATATCTACAACTATCTGATCTTTGACAAACCTGAGAAAAACAAGCAATGGGGAAAGGATTCCCTATTTAATAAATGGTGCTGGGAAAACTGGCTAGCCATATGTAGAAAGCTGAAACTGGATCCCTTCCTTACACTTTATACAAAAATTAATTCAAGATGGATTAAAGATTTAAACGTTAAACCTAAAACCATAAAAACCCTAGAAGAAAACCTAGGCATTACCATTCAGGACATAGGCGTGGGCAAGGACTTCATGTCCAAAACACCAAAAGCAATGGCAACAAAAGACAAAATTGACAAATGGGATCTAATTAAACTAAAGAGCTTCTGCACAGCAAAAGAAACTACCATCAGAGTGAACAGGCAACCTACAACATGGGAGAAAATTTTCGCAACCTACTCATCTGACAAAGGGCTAATATCCAGAATCTACAATGAACTCAAACAAATTTACAAGAAAAAAACAAACAACCCCATCAAAAAGTGGGCGAAGGACATGAACAGACACTTCTCAAAAGAAGACATTTATGCAGTCAAAAAACACATGAAGAAATGCTCATCATCACTGGCCATCAGAGAAATGCAAATCAAAACCACTATGAGATATCATCTCACACCAGTTAGAATGGCAATCATTAAAAAGTCAGGAAACAACAGGTGCTGGAGAGGATGCGGAGAAATAGGAACACTTTTACACTGTTGGTGGGACTGTAAACTAGTTCAACCATTGTGGAAGTCAGTGTGGCGATTCCTCAGGGATCTAGAACTAGAAATACCATTTGACCCAGCCATTCCATTACTGGGTATATACCCAAATGAGTATAAATCATGCTGCTATAAAGACACATGCACACGTATGTTTATTGCGGCACTATTCACAATAGCAAAGACTTGGAACCAACCCAAATGTCCAACAATGATAGACTGGATTAAGAAAATGTGGCACATATACACCATGGAATACTATGCAGCCATAAAAAATGATGAGTTCATATCCTTTGTAGGGACATGGATGAAATTGGAAACCATCATTCTCAGTAAACTATCGCAAGAACAAAAAACCAAACACCGCATATTCTCACTCATAGGTGGGAATTGAACAATGAGATCACATGGACACAGGAAGGGGAATATCACACTCTGGGGACTGTGGTGGGGTCGGGGGAGGGGGGAGGGATAGCATTGGGAGATATACCTAATGCTAGATGACACATTAGTGGGTGCAGTGCACCAGCATGGCACATGTATACATATGTAACTAACCTGCACAATGTGCACATGTACCCTAAAACTTAGAGTATAATAAAAAAAAAAAAAAAAAAAGAATAGGGCGTCCGAAGGCTTCATTTGTTCACAAGAAGCCAACTGAAAATTAACATATAAAAATGTATAAACTAGTATAAGAAATTGTCAAAACAAAGTGAAAGCATAGTGGAAATAAATGCATTTAAGAAGAAACAAAGATAAAAGAAGAAGGAAGGAAGGAAAAGAGGGAGGGAAAGAGGAAGGTGGGGAGGAAGGGAAGTAAGATAGCACTCTAGAGATGGTGAAACCAAAATAGTATGGTTTCCTAATACATACTGTAAACTTATAAAAAATGTTGGGGCCCTTCAATTATCCTAATAATGTACAGAAAGCTATTTCACTAAAGTAGTGGAAGAATTCTTGCTGTGTATTTTTATGATTAAATCTCTGGAAAAATGTAGGTTCAGGTTTATATGTGTGTGGGATAGGGAATTTATATGGGAGTTAATTTTATGAAATAAAGAAGACCTGGTTGATGATGTGGAGTTGACATAAATTTGGATTTTTTTTTTTTCCCTCTGTTGTCCAGGCTGGAGGGCAGTGGTGCGATCTCAGCTCACTACTGCGATCTCAGCTCACTACTGCAACCTTCACCTCCTGGGTTCAAGTGGTTCTTTCAACTCAGCCTCCTGAGTAGCTGGGACTACAGGTGTGCCCCACCACGCCTGGCTAATTTTTCTATTTTTTGGTAGAGACAGGGTTTCACCATGTTGGCCAGGCTAGTCTCCAACTCCTGGCCTCAAGTGACCCACCTGTCTTGGCCTCCCAAAGTGCTGGGATTACAGGTGTGAGCCACCACACCTGGCCACATTCAGGTATTCTTAATAATCTTTGTGAAACAATGAAAATGGAAAGCTGGGAAATAAAAATGTGGGGGATGGGGGTGAAGATTTCTCAAGTTGTCTAAAAGGTAAAGGTCATATGCTGATAACTACAGATTTCACATAAAACCTCAGTCTAAAACAAAATAATAAATATTATAAAAAAGCACTAGCAAGAAACATAAAGGCAAAACGGCAAATCATGCCAAGCTTACCTGATTTTCTTGAGTGAAGAATCTGTGGTTGGTTTGGTTGGATGGGTGAATAGATAGATATACATTATACCTTAAATTCAGCAAGGAATTTAACACAATTTATTAAAAATCCTTGGGAATCATGTAGTAAACTGAGTTTGTACTTTTGGGTAGGTTCCTAGCTTTAACATACTAATGACACTTAACTGTGAAGTGTCCATCTGTGAGAAAAGGCTCTCATGGGATGCCACACTGAGGTTTCAACAGTGGCTTGAAATAAAAATTTGCAGGTAAGAAAACATCAGAAGTACTAAAGCTAAAAAGAATAGGTATGACGATAAAAGATTAACTCAGACTGCATCAGGCACACATAGAATCATAATATGTATCTGATGAAAAAAACAAATCAATTAATTGAATCGACAACTGATGTTTACTAAGCCTGAAGTCCCGCACTTAAGTAAAAACAAATTTTAAAAAAGGCATAAATAGCACAGAGTGGAAAAAGTGGGGTTTTAGTTAACCTCACATAATAAAAGTCAATTATATTTTATCTATATCTCTGAGGTTCAAAATCTTTGAAAACTGAAAGTTTTACCCTACATTTGTCACCAAAATTCATTTGGAAGCAACAAGTTTTACAATTCATATATATTAATATATAATAGAAAAATGTCTGAATAATATGATTAGGAGATGATGCTTTACATAATATTTGATAAATAGATTATATCATATTCCTAAAATCAGAAAAATCCTGAATTTTGAAATAATCTGACCTCAAGAGTTAGAATAAAGGCTTTGGACTTATCTTAGACAAAAGTGTGAGCATATTGATTAAAAAAAAAAAGAAAAAGGAAGAAAATCTTGGTCAAAATAATGGAAAGGGAAGCATTATTCTTCAAACATGAAAAAATAAATAATTTAACCTGCTGGGGCAACATGTGAAATATTATAGCATTATAATTTAAGAAGAATGTTAAATTTATTTGATATCTAACAGATTACCTGATATATGTTAGGCACTAGGTAAATATTTGTTGAATGAATGATTATAATGCATCATTTTAAAAACTAAACATACCAATTATCTAAACTCACATATTTCTTCTTTTCTATTCCCAGTGAATCTTTCTGGTTTTCACTTCTGAACCCCAGATTATCTAGCAAACCACGAATCACTGCCTCAGTGACTTTGCTCATGATGCCACATCTATGGAAATGTTCATTCTACATATCTCCTACCTATATTCAAAGACAGGGCACCTATATTTTTGAAGAAGCTTTCCCTAATCTCTCCTGAGGGAGAGCTAATCTTTACTTTCCTATGCACTCAAGAGTACCCAGAACACATTCCAGAATAGATCTTATTTTTGTACATGTCTTGTTTCCCAAAGTTCAGGTTTCTTAAGGGCGGAGGCTGCTGTTTGTTTCTACCCTTTGATATTACTTGATGCCATTGCTTTTACATATTCATAATCCAAAAATTATTGAATTGAATCAAAATTAATAGGAATAATGAAAGACTATAAACTAAATTACAATCATGACAGTTAAAAGAAAATATAAAGCATTAGCAAGAGAACTGAGACCACTGTCTGTTTTTATTGGCTAGTATATATTCAATGTTAGCTCAATACCCAGCACTTAATAAGGTGAAAATTATTGAACAAATAAACTAGTGTCTAACCTGGGGAATAAAAACTAAGATGATGCATGAAAACAATTTTAAAATACATGAAGTTAAAGTCTAGCATGTAGAAGAGGAAGAAGAGTTAGTACATGTTGTTCCAGAACAGAACTCCAGATCACAGATGAATTTAAAAAGATACAAATGTCATTATGAAGAACCACAGTGATTGGATCATGACAGAGACTGCTTTATAAACCAACTAGTTCTCTCTACTTATGGTCTTAGCAAACAGTAAATGATGATCTGTTGGGGAAAATTCCAGGAATAAATTTTCTCAAATTACACTTTTTTTTTTTTTTTTGAGACGTAGTCTCTCTCTGTCGCCCAGGCTGGAGTGCAGTGGCAAGATCTCGGCTCACTGCAAGCTCCGCCTCCCAGGTTCACGCCATTCTCCTGCCTCAGCCTCGCGAGTAGCTGGGACTACAGGCGCCCGCCACCACGCCCTGCTAATTTTTTTTATTTTTAGTAGAGACGGGGTTTCTCCATGTTAGCCAGGATGGTCTCGATCTCCTGACCTCGTGATCCGCCCGCCTCGGCTTCCCAAAGTGCTGGGATTACAGGCGTGAGCCACCGCGCCCGGCCCTCAAATCGCATTTAAAAAAAAAATCCCCTGAAGTTGAAGTTCATTAAGTTTATTCCCTTGTTAAAACAGAGGAATGATCATGTTGACACACAGTGAAAACAATTCTAATGAGGTAGGAGGCAGTACTGGATTCTGGAGGTGAGGCTTGGACACCAGACCTAATTGATGATTAACTAAAACAGGGATGGGGCAAAAACACTTTCCCATAAGACACACTGACCAGGGTGCCATGTCAGTTTGCCATTGCCATGGCAACACCCAGAAGTTACCACCACTTTCCATGACAATGACCCGATGACCCGGAAGTTGTCACACCTTTTCTAGAAATGTCTGCATGATCCACCCCTTAATTTTCATATAATTAAAAGTGGGTATCAATATGACTACAGAACTGCCTCTGAGCTGCTCCTCTGAGCACGATGCCTATAGGGTAGCCCTGCTCCACAGGGAGTAGTACCTCTGCTGCTGCTATGCACTGTCGCTTCAACAAAAGTTGCTAACACCTCTGGCTTACCCTTGAATTCTTTTCTGGATGAAGCCAGGAACCTTCCTGGGCTAAGCTCCAATTTGGGAGCCTTCCTGCCCTGCATCAGATTCCTTCTTAGATGAAGTTAAGAACTCTCCCAGGCTAACCTTCAATTTTAGGGCTCACCTGCCCTGCATCACTACTATTATGAACTGTACTGTCTCTGAACCAAACCTATCCATTGTTACATATGAAAAGGTTTTAATCAATTTTTCTTACATCAATACAATGGGAAATAGTACTACTATATTACTGAAATTACAAAACTAGAGTAATTGTAGCCATATTTCCAAAACAAAAATATAGCCTCAGACAGGCTTCCCTGGTGGGGAAAAAATATATACATATCCATATGTGTGTATGTGTGTGTGTTTATCACTATCACAGATTTTTATAATGCTTTATAACTTTAAAGACACTTTTACGTAATAGTCAAGAAATTCGATTACATCAACTGTTGAAGGCAGGGAACATATTTATATCTATAAAACAGATTCTGAGGCCTTTGCCCTAGGCCTTATTGCTACTAAATGCTACTAAATGCTAGAGAAGGACTTCAGCTACTAACTCCCAGTCTGTTGGAACATTTTGTCTTCAAAGTCAAGGGCTGATGCAATGATTGTGCTTATTAAAGTATGTGTACAAATGACCAGAATTGTAAAGAATTTCTTGAAAAGGGAATGGTGTAAAAATGTAGTTTGAAGATGCATTCTAACAATAGGTAATTTATAGACAATTCTATGTAATAGAAATCTACACTTGACAGTATTTCCTTCCTCAAGTGCAATAGGGCTTTAAAATCATTTTTTATTACTATTTCCCTGCCTCCATTATACTGACTCAAGCAGTTAGCTCTTTCTCAATACATTCCCATATACAAACCTCATCTCCTTCCTGAGGTCGCATCAAAGAAACCCGGTCATACTGCCGCCTCAACAAAGCCCAGAGAGCATCAAGACGACCCTAAGGGAAAATGAGATTTGTGAATTCCCAGAGAATGTACTCAATCTCTATGTACTGAATAAATGAAGACATAAAACGAAGAAAGTAAAATCTTCTTTACCCTCATTTCTTTCATAAGGTAAACTAATAAGTAATAAAAACCTAGAGGTTCTTATTGCCAAGAAAGTATTCAGCTGTTAAGAGTGTACAATGAATATCTGCAATTTCATCTACCCTCTTTCAAGTAGCTGGGGGGATGTGGTACAAAAAAAGTTACAATGTCTCCAGAAGTTTTGAGTTAAATTACACAAAATCTGGACACATACCTTAATTGGGGTGTACCATTTTGTCTGAGGAGGCTGGTGTGTGGGTTTGGGTCGAGGTGGTCTAGGCCTGATGGGTTCCTCTGTTTCTTCAGGAATCTTCACCACAGCATTTTTGGCTTTCTCTAGCCTTGCACCTTCCTCAGTAGATCCTTTATCACCCCAACGAACCTGTAAAACAAAGGGAGAGTACTGTTATCAGACATAAAGTGTCCTAGAGGAACAGGCTCTTATTGAGCCTATGGTCCTTTAGTTCACATCTCAGAGTGAAAAAGAAGATGAGCAGGTATCCTAATTCCTAATTTCTCCTCTTCAGAGGCTAAATAGGTTTCTCACCACTCCTGACTGTATTTAATATTAAGATCCAAAAAAAAAAAAAACCCTTTGTAAAAAAATCTGGAGCCAACTAAATTTGAAGCAACCATTTTTCCATAGTTTTAAATAAAGAGTCCATTTGTGGTTTACATATGAAATGCATGACAGTGTGTAATTTTGTTCTCTAATTTGGTTTGTTCCCCTGCTAGCTAAACACATACCCATATGTAGTGATGACACTGGAAGAAATATATGAAAATGACGATAGTTAGCATTTACTGAGTGATTACTATGTGTCAGTCTGCATTTAATCCATACAAAAATGCAGTGAGATAGAGACTCTATTTTCTTCTTTCCAGATGAGGCACAGGGAGGTTAAGTGATATGCCCAAAGCCAGCTAGTAAGTGACAGGGCAGGGATTCGAACATGGATTGAAATGGGTTAATAAGTTTCCAATTGGTTAGAATTTTACAAATGTATTTTATACAAAAGAGTTGCTTCTTCCAAACTTTTCATCACATCTGATTAAGGCAAAAAGTATGATCTGAACATTTAGTTTTTGAAAGTAAAATAATTATATATGAGTTTTCTTTACTTTTATAGTTCTAAGTAATATAGTGTTCAGCCTTTAGTTCCCAAGCTCATCTGAGTATGGTTGTGTGGCATATGATTTTTTTCATTGAGGAGGTCAAATCTGAAAAGACTGCTTTGAAAAGAAAAGTTCAGGAACCCTAGAGAATTCCACAAATTATAGCAAATTTCCTCCTCTGAAAATTCTTGACATTGAAAAACCATAAGATCAAATGATTGTTTTATTTTTCAATAGACAGAAATTAAGAGCAAATGATTGTTGTATTTTTCAATAGACAGAAATTAAGAGCTAAATTTGAGTCAAACTGGGCATGTAAAAATAGGATGCAGCCCCTGGAGAAGAGCTTGTCCAACCAGGAGTAGTGGAAAGCCCTACAAAAACCAAGGACATCACCAAAAATGGGCGAGGTCAGAGGAGTGAAGCTCTAAAAACCTATAATAAGAGCTACCGAGGGCACACTATGACACATCAGAGTTAAGTGATTTCTAAAAAGAAAAAAAAAAATCCTAAGACTTCCTAAAGCATTTTAATGATCTGAATTAGTGGGTAGGGATAGAGAAGATTACTATTCATGGAAAGAACTATTCAGTCTTTTTGATAAGGCTTACTTAGATGTTTTTACCTTTTTTTACTACAATTTTAGAATGGGCTTTCAATTTCAAGTGGGCCCTGTTGAGTCATTAAAATGTATCTATATCTTTCAGTGTGATCAATGATACTAGAATGTTTTTATGAGGTTGTTAAAATTGTTTTAAACACCACTAAACCTTTAGAGCTAGATAGTTGGCTTTCTTTCCAGAGAAATGACCTTCTCTTTCCAATCACAGTGTCATCACCTGGATAAACTAACACTTATAAAATCTTTAGATATAGCTAAATTGTATTAAAAACTCTAAAATCAGGACACATATCCTTGCAGTTGTAAAGGCTCAATTTTAAGGAAAAAAAAGATACACAATTAAGTAAAGACACAAATGTCTTAACTTAGAGAAGTCATTCAGGGTAGAAAGAGAAGTAGATACAATTTAGATCCATTCAGAAATGATAGGCTTTAGAATAGACAGCTCTCTCGCCTATGTTTCACAGTTGATATTGCAGAGGTAATGATAATCATATTCTTCTTTCAAGTTTCACTGGCACTATTCTCAGATTAAAAAAATATATATATGAAGCTAGTTAAACTAGAGTTCTGACCCAATGTGGCATTTCTAGGTACTACACTATCAAATGACTATACTTGAGAAATATAGTTGCTGAGATCTAAAGAAGATCCATTAAAGAAATTCATTAGTTTTAGTTCATGAGGGAGCTATTTAATCATCATCAACATCATCACCACCACAAACACCACCACAAACAATTCTCACTTACTCAAAGTCTGAAACTAGAAATTATTACAGTTTTCAAACTCTTAAAAACAATTAAATATACATATATATGTGTATGTGTATGTATGCATAAATTTTAATGTTTTAGTTTGACCACATTGAGACAGTTAAAAAGGACAAAAGAATAACAACAATAGACTGCTAAAGGAAGCCTTAGCAGAATTAATATATCAGGCTTTATTATGGAAAAAAATAAGTGTAAGCTTGATAGCTAAATTCTTCCAACTCCACTTGGCTTTCATTATAAGCAATAAAATTCCATAATTTCCAGAGCATATTTGGATGACTAGAAGGTTATATCATTGAGGAGCAATTTCAGAATCGAGAAAAGAAACAAAAACAGTTTCACACTGAATTGGCAGAAACACACATTTGAAGTCATTAGGTATTGTGGATCAGTTGTGCTAACAGCTGTTATTAACATCATCTCCGTTCCAGCTTTCTAAAAATTCCCATTACCATAGTGTTTAAATATTTAATTTAAAGAAGAAGGAAGAAAAAAATTCTAGGTAAAAATCCCTATGCTGGCTTAAAATAACCTTAGCTATAAAAATGTGTTCTGTAATTCACATGTGCTCATAATTTCTATAATTCCTTTTACTTTTCCTAGTTTAAGGGCTTTAAAAAAAAAAAAAAAAAAAAAGAGAAGTACCTTCCAGGTTTGAATAAGCATGCTTTTAAAACAAATTTTGTTTGCACAGTGGCACCTGCCTGTAGCCCCAGCTACATGAGAGAATCGAGAGAATCGCTTGAGCTCAGGGGTTCAAGACCAGCCAGGGCAACATAATGAGAACTCCCCATCATCCACTCCAGATTTCTTAAAAAATAAATAGATAAATGAAACATTTCCATCTCCACATTTAAATAAATTAATGTTTGAAAATGTTTAATGATGCTTAATTCTCAGTTCAATTTTTACTGTGTATTTTTATATACAGGTTGAGTATAGTTCAAAAATCTAAAATTCAAAATGCTCTAAAACCTGAAACCCATGAAGTGCCAACTTAACAGCATAAGAGGAAAACTCCAAACCTGACCTCATCTGATGGGTCACAGTTGACACTTTGTTTCATGCACAAAATTATTTTAAAACATTGTATATTTTAAAATTCATTTATGCTTGTATATTACGTTTGTGTATTTATGGTATATTTTAAATTCATTTATGTTTGACGCACACCTTATATACATATTCTTCTTATGTGTGTATAAGGTGTGTGTCAAACATATTCCTCTTATGTGTATAGGGTATATATCAAACAAAAATAAATTTGATGTTTAAACTTGGCTCCCCTCCCCAAGATATCATATTAAGTATGTGCAAATGTCCTGAAATCTGAAAAAAATCCAAAATCTAAAACACTTTTAGTTCCAATCATTTCAGATAAGGGATACTCAACGTGTATCGTGTTTCCCCTTTGTAACATCCACACTTGCTTTTCCATTTTTTTCTTCATTCTCATTCTCATTTCCATCTTGTTGATGGAATACTCCATGCAAGGTAGCCAAAATTATCCAAAACTAAAATGGACCCAGATTTATTACAAGTTGGCTGCGGTTTTTCGTCACAAATTTTGTTCAACTGAAAAGGATGTGTGGGCAACATAATTTCACATATTGAGAGTTAAAAACTCTTGAAACTTGAATTATAGGTTAGTTAGGGATGTGTGTATGCTCTTGGCTCTCAT